>NC_000003.12:195064569-195215569 GCF_000001405.40 Homo sapiens | reverse complement strand
GTCTCTTTTGATCTTTGTTGGTTTAAAGTCTGTTTTATCAGAGACTAGGATTGCAACCCCTGCCTTTTTTTGTTTTCCATTGGCTTGGTAGATCTTCCTCCATCCTTTTATTTTGAGCCTATGTGTGTCTCTGCACGTGAGATGGGTTTCCTGAATACAGCACACTGATGGGTCTTGACTCTTTATCCAATTTGCCAGTCTGTGTCTTTTAATTGGAGCATTTAGTCCATTTACATTTAAAGTTAATATTGTTATGTGTGAATTTGATCCTGTCATTATGATGTTAGCTGGTTATTTTGCTCGTTAGTTGATGGAGTTTCTTCCTAGTCTCGATGGTCTTTACATTTTGGCATGATTTTGCAGCGGCTGGTACCGGTTGTTCCTTTCCATGTTTAGTGCTTCCTTCAGGAACTCTTTTAGGGCAGGCCTGGTGGTGACAAAATCTCTCAGCATTTGCTTGTCTGTAAAGTATTTTATTTCTCCTTCACTTATGAAGCTTAGTTTGGCTGGATATGAAATTCTGGGTTGAAAATTCTTTTCTTTAAGAATGTTGAATATTGGCCCCCACTCTCTTCTGGCTTGTAGGGTTTCTGCCGAGAGATCCGCTGTTAGTCTGATGGGCTTCCCTTTGAGGGTAACCCGACCTTTCTCTCTGGCTGCCCTTAACATTTTTTCCAAAAATATGGAACGCTTCACGAATTTGCATGTCATCCTTGCGCAGGGGCCATGCTAATCTTCTCTGTATCGTTCCAATTTTAGTATATGTGCTGCCGAAGCGAGCACCAGTAATCAATGTTTAATTAGCCGTCATGAGGCAGACATGTTTCTAAGGGGAGGGTTCCTGCAGGGGGATGTGCGTGCGTTCTGGAACCTGGGGTACAGTGGATAAGGATTGGAGATTCCAGGGCAGCCTGTTCTCTGCCCCTGCTCCATCAGCCTCAGTACCAGGAGAAAGCAGACACAAGGGCGCCACTGCCCCCCTACGATTGTGGATGCCGTATGTAGATGGTTTTCCAGCCTCTGAGATCCTGACTGAAAGGGGCTGACGGTGCATGCTGGTTCCCATAGTTAGCCCTGTGGCCCCTGCTTGCTTCAGAAAGAAGTGGTCTGAGGATTGACGGGGGTGGGGGCTGGTTTAGGATGGACATGGGTGGGGTCAGCAGGCCTGGGAGTGAGGTCTCACTCTGCCCTTTAGTATCCTGGTTGGCTGATGCAGGGAAGAGGGAGAGCCTCCTCCCTCCCTGATTCTGCCCCATAGGAGGGTGGAATAGAATGTGATTCCAGGACCCTGTTGACTAGTGAGCATGGTCCCATGCACAGAGGGGGCTTTCCTTCTTTCTGGAATTTTCTTCTTAGCCCTGAGGCAGGAGAAGTGAACTGTAACGGGGCTGACCTCTGCAGAGGAGGGGAAGGGACACTGCTTTCTGCTGTCTTCTCTACCCCTCAGGCAAACGGGGCTGGAGGAGTCTAAGGTCTTGCTCAGACTTTGAGCCTAAGCCACATTCTCTAACCTGGTTTACCAGAGAGTTCTGCATTCCACCCCAGTGATGCAGGTAACAGTGGCTTTTGAATCTCCCACCTGCGATGGCTCCTAATGTTTTGCTTTCAGAAACCAAAATCACATCTGGTATTGCCTAAACCCCTCGTGACTCCTAACACAGATCGTGAGTGAAAACCTGCCTTCTCTGAGCAGCATTCTTTGTCTGTAAAATGGGAATAGTGACCATGTAGGCCTCACCGGGGTGGTGGGGAGGACTGGCTGAGATACTGTGTGAAAAGTTCCAGGGCCTGATACCGAGAGATGCTTGGTAAGTGTTAGATAGTATTAGTACTTTTCCCTTTGGAGCAAACCAAAAGCTCTGATAGGTACTGCAGTAAAAAACATTTAGCTTTGTGTAACCAACATCGCTTACACACGATTGACCACAGAATGCCTTTTTGAGGAATACCTATTCACATTCTGAGAGCGGGTTTTCCACAGTACTCACTTTAAGAAATGCTGCCCTCGCCGGGCGTGGTGGCTCACGCCTGTAATCCCAGCACTTTGGGAGGCTGAGGCAGGTGGATCACCTGAGGTTGGGAGTTTGAGACTAGCCCGACCAACATGGAGAAACCCCATCTCTACTAAAAATACAAAATTAGCTGGGCATGGTGGCGCATGCCTGTAATCCCAGCTACTCGGGAGGCTGAGGCAGGAGAATCACTTGAACCCAGGAAGTGGAGGTTGCGGTGAGCCAAGATTGTGCCATTGTGCTCCACCCTGGGCAACAAGAGCGAAGCTCCGTCTCAAAAAAAAAAAAAAAAAAGAAAGAAAGAAGTGCTGCCCTCAGATTAGCGTAATAAATAACACTTGTGTAGCTCTCTGTTGGGATGCGGATGTGGGCAGGAAAGCCTCACCTTCCAGCCAAAGCTACCTCATATCAGCCAGCCTTTCCTGTCCCCTGCCAATAGAGCATGTCGTTGGGTGTGCCATTTTAATTATTCACTTACTTGGTTGTACTTCCAGATTTGAAATAGCTTTGGGTTTGCCTTGGACCCAGAGGGATTGGGAGGACTTTCCGTGGATCATGAATTGTGGTGGGGGCCCCGGGGATGGAGTTGTTGAAGAGGAGGTGTGGGTCTGGCGGCATACCATGGGTGGAGCGCCCTCGCGGCACTGACCAACAAGTGGCTTCAGAGGATCTCAACCCAGAGGGTGACTGAGGGTTCTCAACATCAACCCTCAAGGGAACTGGGCCTAAACGCCTTAGAACAGCAGTCCTCAGCCTTTGTGGCACCAGTGACTGGTTTCACAGAAGACAGTTTTTCAGTGGACCGAGGGGTGGTTGGGGGCTGGTTTTGGGATGAAACGGTTCCACCTCAGATCATCAGGCATTCGTCAGAGTCTCATAAGGAGCATGCAGCCTAGATCCCTCGCATGCGCAGTTCACAGTAGGGTTTGTGTTTCTTTGAGAATCTGATGCTGCTGATCTGACAGGAGGTGGAGCCCAGGTGGTGATGCTCACTGGCCCGCCTCCCACCGCCTGCTGTGCGGCCGGGTTCCTACCAGGCCACTGACCTGTACCTGTTCGCATGGGGCTTGGGGACCCTGCCCCAGAAGACTCACTGTCTTCTGAAGGGCTGTCCTGGGAAACTGGAACCCAGCCTGTTCTGTGTGTCCCCAAAAGGCCACACCAGGTGCAGCTGACCAGAATTTAACTCCGTTACCACGTTTCTGTGAGCCTGTGGGCAAGGCCCTTTTCTTCCCAGTGGCAGATCCTCGCATCCCATCCTGTCGGATCCGATCCCATCGGATCCAGCAGCCCTGGCTTCAGCCTGCACTGTGCTGTCACTCACCCTACCGTGGCCACCCCCGCTTCCTGCTCCCTCCACCTGGGCCACTCTCCCGGTGGCATTCCATGGCTTGCCCCCTCTCCTCCTCCAGATCTTCCCGGTGGCATTCCGTGGCTTGCCCCCTCTCCTCCTCCAGATCTTCCCATGGCATTCCGTGGCTTGCCCCCTCTCCTCCTCCAGATCTTCCCGGTGGCATTCTGTGGCTTGCCCCCTCTCCTCCTCCAGATCTTCCTGGTGGCATTCTGTGGCTTGCCCCCTCTCCTCCTCCAGATCTTCCTGGTGGCATTCCGTGGCTTGCCCCCTTTCCTCCTCCAGATCTTCCTGGTGGCATTCTGTGGCTTGCCCCCTCTCCTCCTCCAGATCTTCCTGGTGGCATTCCGTGGCTTGCCCCCTCTCCTCCTCCAGATCTTCCCGGTGGCATTCCGTGGCTTGCCCCCTCTCCTCCTCCAGATCTTTGTGCAATGAGGCCATCCCTGGCCGTCCTGTGTGAAATCGTGCTCATCTTCTGTGATGAAGGGCCCTGGCCCTTCCTTGCTTTCTTTCTCTTCATAGTTCTTATCGTCTGCTCATGTGGAATGGATTTTGCTTTTTTTTGTTTGTTTTGATCATCTATCTGCCCCACCCAGATGTAAGCTCCATGGGGGCAGGAAGTTCTGTGTGTTTCATTCACTGCTGTGTTCCCAGTTCCCAGAGCGATACAGACACATAGTAGGCAGTCAATAAATATTCATCAAATGAATTAAATGAATACCGTTTTGTTAGGTGTTATCTTGAACTACTTTATTTTAGGGGTCCCCTCAGTCTGCCAGAGCTGGCTCACTGCCTTCGCCCTTTTTCTTCTTTTGAGATGGAGTCTTGCTCTGTCACCCAGCCTGGAGTGCAGAGGCTCGATCTTGGCTCACTGCAATCTCCACCTCCTGGTTCAAGCGATTCTCCTGCCTCAGCCTCCCAAGTAGCTGGGATTACAGGCGTGAGCCACCACGCCCGGCTAATTTTTGTATTTTTAGTAGAGACGGGGTTTCACCATGTTGGCCAGGCTGGTCTCGAACTCCTCACCTTAGGTGAGTCACCTGCTTCAGCCTCCCAGAGTGCTGGGATTACAGGCGTGAGCTACCATGCCCGGCCTGCCTTTGCCCTTTTTCTGAACCCCACTGGAGAACCTTTGGGGGTGGAATCCCGCAGCTTCTGGTGAATCCAGTGGACTCTGAACACTCCTTAGGGTTAGTCACAACCAGGAGCTTGAATTTGTGGGATAGCCATTTCTTGATGGTTCCCCAAGCCTGGAGAACTCTGATTCCTGCTGTGGCGGGTGCTGCCCTTGACTGTCAGCGTTCAGCTGGGGGGAGGAGCAGGGGTTCTTGGTGTGGAAGAAAGCAAAGGAAAAAACAGACATTCAGGAACTTGCCTGAGTGAAAACATCTGAACAAATACTGAACAAAGGGTATAAACATGTGTCCAGTGATTTCAGTGAAAACTATTTTCTGGCAGCTCTTATGGAGCAAATTTGAGGCATTTCGGTTCTCTTATTCTGAAGAGGGACAGCTGAGCAAATTTGTCATAAAATGCTAAAAATAGTAACGTGGTAGAGACCATTTTCTACTAATTTAATGCCAGAAGCTCTTTCTAAGCTAATGAAAATAGTTGCCAAATTGGTTGAACAGTAATATTTCCCGTTTTGGTCCCCTTCATTAGATTCTGTCTTTTAATTTGTCAAGATCTTCTTTTAAATTCTTGGCTATCGGTCAAAGGCATCAGCTGGCTCTTATTACTTCTTGCCAGGACGTCAGCCAACTTTTTTCTGGGCCTCGCCTCACCCATGAGGAGTCCGTCCTCCTGCCCACTGTGTTCAGGGCACTGGGGCACGACAGCAGTCCTGCCCTTGGGGAGCTCACCTTCCGGTTGGTGGAGGGACCCCAAGTGAGTGGGTGTCACACAGGGAGCAAGAGGCGAGAGGTCAGCAGAGCAGCGTCCTGTCCTGTCCTGACTTCAGCGGGGTGTGGGGGTTGTTTGCACGGAGAATGCACCAGGTGCTGTCAGTTCTGTCAGGGCACAGAGAGGAAGCTTTGAGGAGGATGAGGAGAGGTTAGCCTTGAAGGCTTGGGGTGAAGGCTGGGGGAGGGGCCGAGCAGGCATTCTGGGCCAGGGTGTGCGGGCGGCCGGGGCCTCAGCCTGGACTGCAGCTGCTGCTGCCCAGATGGTGTCAGATCCCTGTGTGTCCCTCTGGTGTGTTTGCCAAGCCGCCTCTGGGGCTGACTCTGCTGAGCGTCTTCTCTTTGTCCCGAACTTTGTGCACTGTCCCTGGCTGGAGAAGACTCATTTCTGTACTCAAGTCCTGTGTGTAGTTGCTGATGGCCAGGTCCTGCTGGTCAGCCGCCTTGGACGGAGTCTCGGGCCTGCTTTTCCGTTTTCTGTCCCCTTACTCTGGCTTCTGGATAGCCTTTGGAATATTCCGGGCGATAGCTGGGCCTCCAGAGAGAGTGGGCTGCAGGGTGTGGGCCCGGCCTCCCCTTGCCTGGCGGGTTTTCCTGGTCAGCGTTCCTGCTGCTCCCCGGTCATCCCTCCTGTGCTGCAGCCTTTTTCTCTGGTTCAGACCCACACTCTGCCGTCCCACTGCCTGGGCTTGCTGAGCTCTCCGTTCTGGCTTGAAGGCCTCGCCCGAGCCCTGTCACCGGCTCTGCCTGTCAGGAGGGCCCAAGTGTGCGGCTTCGGTGGGGCTGCCTGACACTGACCTCTGGGGTTGTAAAGGTCCCAGAGGGTCCTAAGTCGGGCCTGATGTGGCTGAGATGGCAAGAGCCGGAACGTTTCTGTAAAATCTGAAAGCCCTTGATGGGGCCGAGGGGGTGAGGAGGATTCCCACCCTGTGTGGACAGGAGCACGCAGCAGCGGAGTGACTCCACCACGTGAGTGGGGTCCAGCGGGTGTGGCACTCGATGACAAGACAGTTTGAGAGCGGCTTGTCTCCGGGGACCTGGCGTAGGTCTCCTCTGCCTTAACCCTTGGCTTTTGCACTTCCTCTGTCTGTCCTCCATACAGGCTTCTTGCCCTAGTGAGGACTGGCTTCTTAACAGGGTGAGCCGGTTCCTGTCCTAACCCCACTGGCATCTTACACTCTGGGAGATAGCTTCCCCCTGAGAGGCGAGTGAGCCACGTAAGGGGAGGTGGGCGATGGCTTCCCTTCTGTCTTGGGTTGGGGGAGTCAGGTACAGTATTTTTTCTTTTAAAGCATCATTGATCACATAATAAGGTTTGTCATAGTCCTTAATCACAGACCTGTGAAATTTGGAGAATTCACGGCACCTAGGATGGGAGTGAGCTTCTGATTGTGAGCTGATTTGGGAGCTAACCTCAAGGAAACTCCTCTTGCAAGCCCCCTGCTGGGTGTCGTGGCCCTCGCCCAGTGACCTCCCGGGGACTCTGGACGCTCTTTGTCTGCCCTTCCTTTTCCCTCACCTCGCTCCCCCGTGAGAAAGTGGGACTCATGCAGCTCAGCTCAGTGACAGAGGGTTTATTAGGGGTAGCTCTGGGACCCATCTTTTGGTGATTTCTTCTCTCTCTTTCTCTAATGGAATAATTGTTTCTGTCTACACTTCTTTATTTTCTCCTCTCTACAGCTGCCTTCTAAAAATGTGCTTTTCTGTTCCTGCAGAACTGAAGCTTGCATGGCCTTTGTTGTGACTTTCCCGTCACGAGCGTTGTCTCTTGGTATTTTCCCATAGGCCAGCCTGCAGGTCATACGTTGTTCATTTTTTTTGTTGTGGTTGGTCCAGTCAGCCAGGACCAGAGCAGGTGGGACCATGTGGTGCCACACGCAGCCAGCTGGGCCTCTTCGGCAGGCGTGTGGGCAGTGGGCAGGTGGGCTGACTGCCACTCTCAGATATAGAGCTGACACCGAGACTGGATGCTGTGCTGTGCTAGGCACAGGAGGGGAGGGGAACAGATGTGAGTCAGATGTGCGGTTTGCCCTCACAACTTCACTTTCTAGTTGGGGAATTGGACATTTACATAAATGTACAAACACCTGTCATACAAAAAAGAAAGGAATAGGTGTCATCCAAATACCACCTCTGTTGGGGTATGTGGTGGGCAGCCTCTAACACGGCCCCCGGTCATCCCTGCCTCCTAGGAGTCGTGCCCTGGTGGGTCCCTGTCCCTTGATGTAGGCTGGACTTATTGACATGCTTCTAGTGAATAGAATCTGGCAAAAGTGATGGCCTGTCACTCTGGGACTGTGTTATAAAAGCCTGCTGCTTCTGTCTTGGGCACTTTCTGTCTCTCTCTCTGAGCCTTGCCTGGAGGAATTCAGCTGCCATGATATGAGCTGCCCTGTGGAGAGGCCTGCATGGTGAGGAACTGATGTCTCTGGCCAGCAGCCAGGGAGGATCTGAGGCCCACCAGCAGCCACACGAGTGAGAGGGGAATTGAGTCTTTACATAGTTGAGCCCTAGCCAACCTTGATTGCAGCCCGTGGGCCAGAGGCTAAGCTTGCCTGAATTGTCTCAGATAAATAACATATTTATCTTACAGCTTATTTATTTATCTGTAAGATAAATAAATATTTGTTGTTTGCAGCTGCTAAGTTTTGGGTTAACTTGTTATGCAGCAGTAGGTAACTGATACAAGGGGATCTCAGCACAGAGAGAGCTGTGAAGTGCCAAGGAGGCGGCACCTTTGGCTAAGGAATTTGGGGAAGGCTTTGAGGAGGATGTGGTATTTGAGCAAGGCTATCTTTTTTCCATAGAGTGTACACCTCTTGTACAAGGTAGAACATCTTGCACATAACAGAAGGCCTGTCTGTCGGTCCCACTTTCCAAGGTGAGTAGAATAAAGTCACTGTTTTCCTGTTGCCTGAGAACCTCCAAACCCTCTGTTGAAGAAGGGCAGGGCTGGCTGTTTCCTGGAGCCCTCCTGCCCAGCCAGACGTGTGGCATCTCTGATGTAGCTGAGTCTCCCGGGCCTGGTGGCCTCCATCTGCAGTGCCACCAACTGTGTGTGGGGCTGCTTTGCACACCATATGCTGATTAGGGAGCAACAACATGGGACCTGCAGGCCCGATGCCCCAGGCGCTCCTCAGACCCGCGAGCCATCCCACAGTCTGCCCGGGGCAGCTCCTCACCTGCCCTCGTGGCTCTTCCAGGCTGGCTCAGCCTGTGGTAGAAGGGTCTGAAGACCCAGGTTAAAGCCTTGTTTCTCTCTCTTACTGATGGCGAGGCACTGAACATCCTCCGTGGGCCTTTTTTTTTCCCCCTCCACCTTTTATTATGGAAAATTTCAAATATCCACAGAAGGAGAGAGGAGAGCATAATGAATGCCTGTGTACTCATCACCGGCTTCAGTAGTTACCAACTCATGGCCTGCCCCTTTTCATCTCGACTCCCACCCATCGCCTTCTCCCCCAGAAGCAAATACCAGATCTTATTTTATTTTTAAATATTTTGATAAGTCTCTCTAACAGAAAAGTACTTTTTTTTTTTGAGACGGAGTCTTGCTCTGTCACCCAGGCTGGAGTGCAATGGCCAAATCTTTCACTGCAACCTCTGCCTTCCAGGTTCAAGTGACTCTCCTGCCTCAGCCTCCTGAGTAGCTGGGATTACAGGCACGTGCCACCACGCCCGGCTAATTTTTGTATTTTTAGTAGAGATGGGGTTTCACCATGTTGCTTAGGCTGGTCCTGAACTCCTGACCTCAAGTGATCCTCCCACCGCGACCTCCCAAAGTGCTGGGATTGCAGGTGTGAGCCACCGCAACTGGCTGGAAAGTACTATTTGTATTAAATGCGCTATTTTTATTACATTTAGCAAAACTAACAATAAATAATCACCTTATTGCCATCTAGTATCCATGCAGGATTCACATTCTTGAATTGACTACATGTTTCATTTGGTTGACTCTTGAGTCTTTCCCATTCTCTCTTTCAAAATTAAACTTTAGGCCGTGCGTGGTGGCTCACGCCTGTAATCGTAGCACTTCGGGAGGCCGAGGCGGGTGGATCACGAGATCAGGAGATTGACACCATCCTGGCTAACACAGTGAAGCCCCGTCTCTACTAAAAATACAAAAAATTAGCTGGGCGTGGTGGTGGGGGCCTGTAGTCCCAGCTACTCGGAGAATGGTGTGAACCCGGGAGGCAGAGCTTGCAGTGAGCTGAGATCGTGCCACTGCACTCCAGGCTGGGTGACAGAGTGAGACTCCCTCTCAAAAAAAAAAAAAAAAAAAAATTAAACTTTAAATTTTAAGATAATTGTAGATTACCATGAGGTTGTAAGAAGCAATACAGAGATCCTTTACCCACTTTCCCCCAGTGGTAACATCTTGCAAAAACTATAGCAAATACAACAACCAGGATATTGTTTTTGTTGTTGTTGTCTGTTAGTTTTGAGACAGAGCCTTGCTGTGTTGCCCAGGCTGGAGTGCAGTGGCACGATCTCGGCTGACTGCAACCTTCACCTCCTGGGTTCAAGCGATTCTCCTGCCTCAGCCTCCCGAGTAGCTGATATTACAGTCGCCTGCCACCACATTTGGCTAATTTTTGTATTTTTAGTAGAGACAGGGTTTTATCATGTTACCCAGGCTGGTTTTGAACTCGTGACCTTGGGTAATTCACCCGCCTCGGCCTCCCACAGTGCTGGGATTCCAGGCATGAGCTACCGTGCCCGGCCAGGATAGTGACTTTGATACCATCAAGCTGAGAACGTTTATCCCCACAAAGATCCTTCGTGCTGCCTTTTACAGCCACACCCACCTCCTCTGACCCGTAGCAACCACTAATTTCCTCCTTCATTTCTGTATTTCAAGAATGTGTATCAATGGAATCCTAAAGTATGTAACCTTTTGAGATAGGCCTTTTTTCTCAACATAATCCTCAAGAGGTTCATTCCAGTTGTTGCGTGTCAGTAATTCACTTTTTAATTGCTGAGTCGTATTTCATCATGCGAATATACCAGTTTGCTTAACCATCCATTTAAGGACAGCTTGGTTGTCCCCAGTTTGCGGCTAGTATGCATAAAGCTGCATTTTGTTGTATGGACATAAATTTTTATTTCTCTGATATAAATGCCTGAAAGTACAGTAGCTGGGTCTTTTGGTAGTTACTTGTTTCATTTTATAAAAAATTGGCAGACTTTTCCAGAGTTTGGCGATTTGCCAGAGTTTGGCAGACTTTTCCAGAGTTTGGCAAAATCCCAACAGCAATGTTTGAGTGTTTCTCAAGTCCCTTCTAAACCAGAGGTCCTCTCTCCCTCCACCTCTATTTTCTGACTTCGCAACTGGGGAGGAAAATTTGTGCTCTGATGATCTTGCGTGATTGGGATTATCTTGCATGTGAAACTGCTTTATAAACTGTCCCCAGCTGGGTCTATTAGTGCTTCCTTTTTGTGGGTGTATCTGAAAACAGTGTCACAGAATCTTAGCGGAGGGCTGTAGACATTTATTCACTGTCTGCCCCTGCGTTTCCTAGCCTGGCTGGATTCTGCAGGGCTGCTGGGTCATGAGGGTTGCCACAGGTCAAGCGTGTTAATGAAGTTCGTCTTGGCTTCTGCAGCACATTGCGGGTTGTGGGTAGTGAGATACTTGAGTTGCCTGAGCAACCCATGAAGACCACAGTCCCTGCACAGACCAGGCTTCGGCACGGCCACTGTGGCTGCCAGGACTGGTCTTCTGGGCCACCTTGTCATTCATCCCTGACCTGGCTGGCTGGCTGGCCAGCAGTTCAGACTGGAACACGAAGATGCCACTGAGAGAGAGAGAGAGAGAGAGAGAGAGAGTGAGAGAGTGAGTGTGTGTGTGTGCGTGTGTGTGTCAGGGAGAGAGAAAGCGAGGACCTTTTAGCCACAGACCCATGCCAGCTTTGCTTAAGATGATGGTAGTTTTCTCTCTCTCTCTCTCTTTTTTTTTTTTTTGAGACAGAGTCTTGCTCTGTCGCCAGGCTGGAGTGCAGTGGTGCAATCTCAGCTCACTGCAACCTCTGCCTCCTGGGTTCAAGCGAGTTTTCTGCCTCAGCCTCCCAAGTAGCTGGGACTACAGGCGTCTGCCACCACGTCCGGCTAATCTTTGTATGTTTAGTAGAGATGGGGTTTCATCATCCTGGCCAGGCTGGTCTCGCACTCCTGACCTCATGATCCACCTGCCTCAGCCTCCCAAAATGCTGGGATTCCAGGCGTGAGCCACTGTGCCCGGCCAATGATAGTTTTCTCTAACACTATGTGTGGTGAATTCTAAGCTCTATTAGAAGCAAAAACCTGAGGCTTTTTAAAAGCACTTGCCTCGCCGCCTCCTTTAGGGCTGTGTCTGACATGACCGTCATTTCCTCAGTTGGTTATCAGCCTTTCTTCTCCCTTGCTGAGCTGTCAACTGATGCCCCCACCTTCGTCTCAGCCTCTGTTCCGGGGGCTGACTTGACTAATGTGTCCCCAAGTTGCTTGATGACCTCAGACAAGAAGCACAGCAGTGCCTGGCCTCACAGCCCCATCAGCATGGAGGATGACAGTCCCAGCACACTGCTCCAAGGGGCTGTGAGGAATAAATAATAGGCCAATGGCAAAAACACTGGGCGGAGGAATCCTGCTGGAGAGACACTGACACAGTGGAGAGAATGTGTCTGTCAGGCCATTTGCTCCTTACTTTAAAGGCCTGAGTGGTGGCTAGAGCTCTGTTCTTTGTGTTTTACAGAGGGAGATGTTAATGTTCGATTCACTTCTTTTGTGGGTTTTCTCTGGTGCCTGCATGTTCCTTCTCTGCACTGCTGTCAGTCCCAAGCCTGGGGGTGGCATGGGGTCTGCTGCTGTCTTGAAGGATATGTGGGCCCCCAGGGATTTTCAGTGAGGTGAAGGGGTGGGTACAGGCCAATTTGATAGGTGAAATATATATCATTATAGAATATTAAGTTTTCTTTCCTTTCTTTTGAGTGAAATTGGATCTCCTTTCATATGGTAAGAATCACTGAATTTCTTTTCTATGAACTCTTTATGCCCTTAGCCCATTTTTCTATTGGGTTGTTGATGTTTAGTAATTTCAAGGAGCTCTGTATTTGTTAAGGAAATAAGCATTTTTGTCCCTGAAATACGTTGAAAACATTTTTTTTTTGCAGTCTTTTAACTTTTTTTCTATGAAGGTTTTTAAAAAATTTGTGTTGTGGGCAGGTGTGGTGGCTCACACCTGTAATGCCAGCACTTTGGGAGGCCGAGGCAGTAGGATTGCTTGAGGCCAGGAGTTCAAGCCCAGTCTGGACAACATAGTGAGAGCCCATCTATACAAAATTTCTTTTTTTAATTTGTGTTGTCAGGTCTATCTTGTGACTTTTAGATTTTGTGTCACACCTAGAAAAGGCTTCATTCCAAGATTATTAAAAAAAATTATCTTGTGATTTCTACATTGTGAATTGTAGTGTGCTAACAGAGAAATGAACTACTCTTGTCCTTAAGAATAGTTATGGCCTACTATCTTCTCTGAATTTATCTAAAATAATTCTTCTTCCAAGATGACCTAAGTGGCTATCTCTGGATACAGAGGACTGGAAACTATGCATCGGATAGTCTCAAGATATCCTCTTAGCTTGGGCTTGTGGACCCCAAATCAACAAGTATTCTTAGGGGTCCCAGATTTTCACCTTCTGGGGCTGCTGGTAGACATGGCAGTCTTTATATGTGGCAGTGAAAGCTGAAGAAAGATGGTGGGTAGAGGAACCAGAATGTTCTAAAGCTTATGGCCAAGTCTTCTCTCTACTGGATAATATTGGACAGCATGTGGTTTTGAGGTTCTGTTCATCTTTGGATTGACACGTTTTTAGATTTGTTAATTATTCTATCAGGTTACTGTCAGTTTTTTTTTTTTTTTTTTTGGCCAGGGACCTAGTTGGTCTCTTTAAGATAATATTGCAATCTCTGCCCTATTCCATTGTCTGTTTTGGGATTAGTTCTCAATGTTGGTATCTTTTGTTTCTGTGTGACTGGGGGACAGTGTCTCTATAGTTCTTTGTTCTGACAACACTGGAGCAAAGTGGGGTTCAGTGCTCCAGAGACCAAGTCTGAAGTTGGCCTCCGTCAGTCCTTGTCTACTCTTTTTTTTTGAGACGGAGTCTCACTCTGTTGCCCAGGCAGGAGTGCAGTGGCACGATCTCGGCTCACTGCAACCTCCACCTCCCAGGTTCAAGCAATTCTCCTGCCTCAGCCTCCTGAGTGGCTGGGATTACAGGTGCACACCACCACACCTGGCTAATTTTTGTATTTTTAGTAGAGACGGGGTTTCTCCATGTTGGTCAGGCTGGTCTTGAACTTCTGACCTCATGATCCGCCCACCTTGGCCTCCCAAAGTGCTGAGATTACAGGTGTGAGCCACCGCGCCCGGCCCTGTCTAGTCTTAGTTGTCGGTTAGCTCTTGGTTTCCTGTGCGGATGGAGGGGAGGAGCAGAGGAGCAGCTAAGTCCCAAACTTGGAATTAATCATAATACCATGGCTTTGGGACCTTCTAGGCCTCAGGTTGTAATGCCTTTATCCCTTGGGCACTCAGGTCCTGTGAAATTTAGATGGTCCCTGAAATGTGTACATCTGCCCAGCTGGGAGTTGGGTCTAGAGGGGCCAGCCAGCATGGGTGTTTTATCTGGCAGAGCCAAAAGCGTGAAAAGCCACTGGAGTGAGCCCAAGCCTTTTCAGAGAAACCTGAGGCTCCAGTACAGTTTCTGAGTCCAGAGGGACGGAAATGGGATCATCAACAAGGAACAGCCTCAAGATAGGACTTGGGATAAAGTGAGTATAGAATTTGAGAGGAGCGTCTGAGTCTTGCTTTTGTTGGCACAGGTTTGAGAATACATTGGGATGACTTAAAGGCAGAGGTTGAGATGGACCCCCAGAGACACAGGCAGCTGTAAGGAATGTCCCAGAAGCAGAAGGGTTAAAAGTGTGTGCTGGGGACCCCAGGATAGATAGAGCACCTCTTTGCTGGGAGCAAGGGCCCTTCCTCACATGCACTCTAGGGAAATCCTGGCCTTGTCTAGCTACTGATTTAAAAGGCAGTGGGTTAGACACTCTCTTCACAGAGGAACTCGAAGTCCAGTGACTTCTTAGAAGATTCTGGGAGAGGTGCTTGTGGTTATCCAGGCCAGTGGCTCTGAACAAGATGATGGATCAGAATTACCCAGAGAGCTTTATCAAATACTTTGCCTGGATTCCAGCACTCAGAGATTTTTTTTAAATTGAGTTAAAATTTATATACAGTAAAAATAGAGATTTTTGACTCCGTAGGTCTGGGGTTGGGCTGGGACAGGGTTATTTCAAGAAAATCACCCTGGGTAACTTCAATGTACATCTCTAGTTGAGAACCTGATTTTCTTCACTTCTAAACTTTACTGGTGGGGAGACTGAGACCTGAGGGGTTGTTCACGGTAGAGGATGGAGCCAGCGGACCCGTGAGCTCCTGTTGGACCACAGGCCAGAGCCCAGCATTCCTTCTTGTGGCCCACAGCTCTTTCTACTGAGTGACTGCCATCATTAAACTAACGAGTAACTGATGGGGCCACAGTAAACCTGTTTGGCACTTCTTCCCGCCTAATTTAGACAGATGTTTCCAGGTTTGGGGCATGTTGCAGTATAGTCCTAGATTCCTGCCCTGCACAGGCTGTGAGGGTGTTCATGTGAGTCAACCGATTGTAGGTCAGTGAACCCTGGTCGCCAAAGCCCTTGCCTGGGAGGAGCCAAGTTGGTCATGAAAGGCAAGTGCTATGTCCTGTTGCATGTCTTTTAGTAAGTACTGGGAGAAGCATTTTCCAGGCTTGATTCCAGAGAAGCAATGGAATTCCAGTACCATTGTTTCCACCACCACTATTATTACCAGTGAACCCACTGTGTGCTTGGATGAATTATCTCATGTAATCCACCCTTGGCAGTGGGAATGGTCATTTATCCCATTTTACAGATAAAGAAGCAGCTCAAGTAACATGGCCAGGGTCACCCAGCTGGCTGGTTAGAGCTGGAGTTCAAGCCCAGGCAGAATGACTACAGCTCCTGGGTGCTTCGCCACGCTGCTTCACGGCTTTCCAGAGCGCCAGATCTGGAACCGCGCTGCTTCACGGCTTTCTAGAGCGCGAGATTTGGAAGGTCTTGCAGAGCAGCATCCCCTAAATGGCAGGTTCCAGGAAAGATCTTTATGGGAAATGTGAAAAGCAGCGATGGAAAAATATGTGGATACACAGAGCTTCCAATCCCCTTCTTGGAGGGTCACAGTGTACACCATCATGCTGGAGATTTTGAGAAGAATGGCAGTTAGGAAGTCTGTTTAGCTTTGACTAACCAGCAGGTCCCAACTTAACTTGACATGGAATGCTCCTTTCTACATTATCCTAAATGACTTACAGACCATTGTTTCCCAAACACCAGTTGGGGAAACGCCATCATGGCTCATAAGTCTAATGCTCTCATTTTCAGTGGACACATGGGACCCAGGGAAGGGAAAGGACTTATCTAAGGCCCAACACAAGTGCACTGCGAGGCTGGGGAATCTCTGCAGCCTGATTTTTGTCAGGACAGCCATCTTTGGGAGTACCTGGAATCCTGATGGGAGCAGATAGATGATAACCCCTATGAGACTCCTTAGCTCTAGGCCTTTGTGAAGGTAGCAACAAGATTCTTTTTTTTTCTTTTGAGACCGAGTCTCACTTTGTCACCCAGGCTGGAGTGCAGTGGTGTGATCTCAGCTCACTGCAAGCTCCGCCTCCCGGGTTCACGCCATTCTGCTGCCTCAGCCTCATGAGTAGCTGGGACTACAGGCGCCCACCACCATGCCTGGCTAATTTTTTGTATTTTTAGTAGAGACAGGGTTTCACCGTGTTAGCCAGGATGGTCTCGATCTCCTGACCTTGTGATCCACCTGCCTCACTCTCCCAAAGTGCTGGGATTACAGGTGTGAGCCACCGCGCCCGGCCCAAAAAGATTCTTTTTATATGTAGGCATACGCAACCGCAAAGGAGATTTGGAGGAGCTTTGGATAGTTCCTCTTTCCCAGGGTAATGATGGGAACCTCGAGCCGGTGGCCAGGGAAACAGACTGAGCTTGTTGGGTCTGGACTCCTAGCCCTGCCCACACGGCCTCTCCTGCGGGCCATGCTCATTCCTATCCTATGTTGACTCCCTGGGCCCAGCCATCATACCCACATATCCTAGCCCTTCATTCAGCCTGCAGATTCCTTTCAGTCCCTGGTAATGCAGTTGATCAAAATTTGTTTCTAAGCAGCAAGTCTCCATCAGCTGATTATTATAGAGGTTTGTTCTTTCCAGTGTTCTTGGCAAAATGCCTCCCAATATTTACTTATTAACTTGAGAATTGGTTTTTGCCTTCCCGTCGGAGAACTCTGCCACTCTTGTCTGCGTTTCTCGAAGCAATTGATATTCTCAGTGGTGAGGGGAGGGATATTTTGCTTCCTGAGATGAAAGAGTGACTTTCATTGAAATGGCTGTCAAGAACTGCGGGTGCCATGACCTTGTGAACACTGTAGAACGGTTCTCTGGTGATAGAGGTGTTCATAGTTGAAGGTTTTGTTGTGTGTTGCATAATAGTTACGAGCACTGAAAAAACACTGCCTGGGTTTGAATGCAGCCCTGCCACTTAGTAGTGGAAAATAATACTATCAGTTTGTGAACATTAATTGAATTAATATATGGAGTTAGATGATACCTTACACGGGATAAGTACCATGTAAGCGTTTGCTGTTATTGCTTTTGTTAGGGTGGCTTCGGTTGGGAAGTTTTTACATCCCAGCTCCCCTGACTCCCAGGCCCTTGAATATTTGTACCCAAGAGGCTTTTCTTACTGTGGATATAGCATGGCCTAGAACTTTCTTCAGGCCCCTGGCCTTCCGGGATGAAGTGCCCGGACAACTTGTTCCTGACTGACTCTTTTTTGAAACTCAGGGGGAGTGGGAAGAGAAGTTCGACTTTGCATGAGTCTTCTCTTTGAATCTACTTCCTCCTTCAAGTTACTCATCCTTTTTATGAATCACCCATGCCAATATTGCTCCCTGAGTTTGCATCCCTTCCTTCCCAAGCATACTTCTGAGATGTTTGTGTCAGTACTTGCTCCATGGTCAGGAAATGCACCTTAATTTTTATAACCCAAGCCAGACAGAATTGAGTAAACCTCATATATGCTCTATCCCCAAGCCTCAGTTGAGTGGTTATTGGATTATCTTCTGTTGTGAATAAGTCACACTTCTGCTAGTCCGATTTCATGGATAGGGGAGAGCCGAGGGTGAAGCCCGATTAGCGTGTGAGCCAGGCGCAGCTGAACTCAGCTTGTCTCTCCAGCTCGTGCAGAAGTTAACTGGTGGGTGAGGCCAGTAGAGCTCTTCCCTAGCCTTGGGAAGGAAGCCTCTGGTTCGCTTTTCCATAAGCTGCTGGCCTAGAGGGGAATGTGTGAGACTAAGTGGACAGTGTTTCTGGAGAGAGTATTTGACCAGTTGTGTCAAACGCTGATGGCAGGTCAGTAGGATGAGGACTAGATTTAGCAATGTGAAGGTCATTGGTGACTTGAACAAGCAGCTTCGCTGGAGCAGAGAATTGTGATCCTGAGCGGACGGGATATATAGTTGTCTTTTTTATAGGACTTTAATTTGTTTAGATAGTTTCAATTTTTTGCCATTTTATGATGCCATACTATGATGCTTGTGAACATCTTTAGGTACATAGTGTTTCTTAATATTATTTCCCAAGGATACTTATCAGAATAACATTTCACTATAATGCCACTAATATTTGGTTCTCAGTCTGTCCTTTGAAGACACTTTGAAATAACATAGCTTTTTTTTTTTTTTTTTTTAAATTGAGACTGAGTCTCACTCTGTTGCCCAGGCTGGAGTGCAGTGGCGCGATCTTGGCTCACTGCAGCCTCTGCCTCCCAGGTTCAAGTGACTCTTGTGCCTCAGCCTCCCGAGTAGCTGGGACTACAGGCGTGCACCACCACGCCCGGCTAATTTTTGTATTTTTAGTAGAGACGAGGTTTCGCCTTGTTGGCCAGGCTGGTCTCAAACTCCTGATCTCAGGTGATCCACTGGCCTTGGCCTCCCAAAGTGCTGGGATTACAGGCGTGAGCCACTGTGCCTGGCCACATTTTTGTTGTAAATAAATATCCCAGAGGAAAATGGAGACTAGCTGCTATTGTTTTAAGTTACAAGCTAATTGAGCCATGAAAACTCATTGCCAATTCAGTACCAAGAGGTGCAGAAGATAATTGCCTCGGTGCATATTGATTTTTTCCTATCCAGGGTGGTTATGCTGTGAGGTAATTGACAACACCGGGTTTTAAAAAGGATATACTAGTCCCAGTGTAAAATATTTTTCCTCCTGCTAACTGCTCTGCCTGTCCTCAAATGTGCTACTTTTTTTTTTTTAAAGGAAGTGACAATTAATGACTTGTCACTTGTTCAGCCAACATTGATAGCCAGTTTAGTCTTGTCTCATCCAATATTCCTTATTACTTTGGCATTTTAATTTGTACAAAGCCGTTTTCAGTTATCTTCTTTTCTTATCCTGTTACATTTGCTTTTACACGGTTGGGTCTCCTGAGTTTGCATCCCAAGCAAGTTAAAATTCCAGGCAGGTTATTTTTTCAGATTTAAACAGAGAAGGCAGAGGCCTCCTTTCTCCCTCCCTATGTTTTCATCGCCTGCCTGACTCATCTCTGGTCTCTTTCTCCGCCTATCTGCCTGTGTTATGTTTTCTTCCCCTGAGATCTGTTGCTGAAAGGCTGACTGCAGGAGCAGTGCTCAGCTCTGAGGGGGCATACCTATTGCCCCAGGGGTACTATTTGTACATGTCGGGGTTGTTGGCCCAGTAGTGATGCTGGCGGGGATGGGGAGGAGGCAGGACCCTGTAGGCTGTGGGGAATAGGGCAGGGTGAGTGCCACAGGGCTAGGGAGCATCTTGCCCTGCTTCCTGCCGCACCCTGCAGGATGGCAAGGCCACTTTCAGTTGGCAGAACTCTGTTGTCCTATAGGACAGATGCTAGCCACATGTGGCCATTTTTGTTTAATTAATTAAAAGTAAAGAAAATTAAAAATTCAGCTCCTCAGTCACACTAGCTGTATTCCAAGCGCTCAGTAGCCACATGTGACTAGCAGCTACTCTATTGGACAGTGCGGGTGCGGAGCGTTTCCATCAGGCACAGGGTTCTGCTGGACGGCGCTGTCCTCCAGGGCTTGGCTGCTTCCTGGGTGATTGAAGAAGCCAACATTGAGGGGCCTTGGAGACTGGCAGTGGCAGGTGACCTGGGCAAGCAGGCTGCAGCCTCGGGCTAGCCTGGAGGGAATGGCAGTGCCAGGCAGGGAGACTGAGGCAGTGAGGAGAAAGAGGGACTGTGACTTGGAGGTCCTGACCAGGCTCAGGCTCACTGGAGCTCATTGGATACTTCAATGCAACAGGACTGTGTCTAGACCATGGCAGGTGTGGCTGGCGGTGCTGAACTCCTGCAGGCCAGAGGGGTGAGCCTGCTGGAAGGGGCTCCAGCTGGGGTGCAGGAAGAGCATTCCCAGCACGGCACTGCCCGGGCCCTCCGAGCTGTTCCTGAGAGCTGTATGAATGGAGTTCCCGGGCTGGGCAGTAGGGGAACTGCCAGAGTGAAGGGACCAGGGCACAAAAGCTTTTCATTCATGAATCTCTTTCATTTACAACAAACCACGGGTAGCCTCTCCCCAGGGATCTAGATGGTTCCAGGAACAAAGGAACACACAGAAAAGAGAGTCCTTTTATTTTTTTAAAGCTGAAAGAGGCTCTGTCCAGTGGAAGAACTGCGGCCACTTCTCAGTGGGACTTCTGACTGGAACAGTCTTAGGCGCCTGAGCGACTCTGAGGAAGGAATCCGTGGTGGTCACCCCTGGGGAAGCCAGGCCACCTTCTCAGAGCACTTCAAGCCAGGCATGTCTTGCTGGTAATAGCAATGACATTGAGTATGACTGTAATAATAATAACTGCTAATACAGAAGGCTTACTGAGACCCAGGCATTGTTCTAAGTGCTTTATATGAATTCACTTAAGAGAACATTTATGAGAACGGTAGCCAGCTTTATCACTGGAGGGTTCTCAGTGGCCCTCCATAGCATTTAACGTCAACAACCATTGTAGTAACAGCTGCTGTTTTATGGTTTAAAGAGAATTTTTATGTACATTGTCCTTTTAAAAAAAAAACCCAGCTTTGTTGAGGTACAGTTTATACCATCACATTCATCCATTGCAAATGCACAATTCTGTGGTTTTAGTAAATTTATAGGTTTATGTAACCACGACCACAATTCGGTGTTAGAACCTTTCCATTCCTCCAAATGTTTCCTCTGCTTGTTTGAAGTTAATCTCTGCTCCTACCCTAGCCATGGGCAATCACTGATCTGCTTTTTGGTTCTCTAAATTTGCCCTTTCTGGTAATTTCATGTAAATTGAATCATATAATATGTAATCTTTTCCACCTGGGTTCTTTACTTAGCATAATGTTGTTCTTGAGGTTCATCCATGTTGTAGCATGTATCAGTCATTTATTCCTTTCAATTTGTTACACAGTGTTCCATTGTGTGGCTGTCCCACGTTTTGTTCGTGTGTTTGTTAGTTGATGGACGTTTGGACCGGTTTCACTTTGGAGCTATTATGAATAATGCTGTCGTGAGCATTATCTTTGTGTGAACATATATTTTCATTCTTATTGGGTAAATTCCTAGGAGTAGAATTGCTGGGTCATATGGGAAATTTATGTTTAACTTTGTAGGAAACTGCCTGTTTTCTCAAGTGCTTGTACTCATTTATATTCCCTTCTGGGAGGCATGAGGGCTCCAGTTTTTCCACAACTTCTCTAACATTTGCTATTGTCAGTCTTCTTACTACAGCCATTCTGGGAGTGTATAAAGGTATCTCATTTAATTTGCATTTTCTTAAAGACTAGTCAGGTGAAGCATCTTTTCATGTTCTTGTTAGCCCTTTGCATATCTTTGGTGAAATATCTGAATAGATATATAATTGAGTTGTTTATATATATATAATATATATATTAATTGGGGTGTTCGTCTTCTTATTACTGAGTTGCAAGCATTCCTTATATAACCTGGATGCAAGTTCTTTATAAGATATACGATTTACAAATATTTTTCTCCCAGTCTGTGGCTTATTTTCATTTTAATATTGATTTATTTTTTATGCACAAAATTTTTAATGTTGAAGTTCAGTTTATCAATTTTTTTATTGTATGGATAGGGCTTTTTGTGTCATTATCTAAGAATTCTTTGCCTAACCCAAGGTCAGGAATATTTTCTCCTGCAACATTTGTTTTCTAGAAGTTTTATAGTTTTAGCTATTACATTTAGATCTATGATCCATTTTGAGTTAATTTTTATGTATGATGTGAGATAAAGGTCCAAATTCTTTTCTTTTATTAATTTTTTTGCATTTGTATATCTAATTGACTGTCCTTTACCCGTTGAATTACAATAGTGATAAGTAATAATAATTACCTTCACATTTTTGTTGAAAATATATTGACTATAAATGTGAGGATTTATTTCTGAATTCCCAATTTTATTGCATTGATCTATAAGCCTTTCCTGTGCCAGTATCACACCGTCTGGATTTCTGTGGCTTTGTAGTTATTTTTAAGATCAAGTAGTGTGAATTTTCCAACTTTGTTATTATACAAAATTGTTTTGGCTTTTTTAAGTTTTTGCATTTCCATATACATTTTAGGATCAATTCATCAATTTCTACCAAAAAGTCTGCTGGGATTTTGATAGTAATTTACATATCAGTCTGGGAGGAATTCCCATCTTGACGGTGTTGAGGCTTCCAATGCATGAACATGAAATGTCTCTCCACCTATTTAGATCTTCTTTAGTTTTCTCAGCAGTGTTTTGCAGTTTTTAGTATGCGAGTCTTGTACTCCTTTTATTAAGTTTATTCCTAAGTATTTTATTATTTTAGGAATGGCTTTTTTTTTTTTTTTAGACGGAGTCTCGCTCTGTGGCACAGGCTGGAGTGCAGTGGTGTGACCTCCGCCCACTGCATCCTCCACCTCCCGGGTTCAAGCGATTCTCTTGCCTCAGCCTCCCAAGTAGCTGGGATTACAGGCGCACACCACCACTCCTGGCTAACTTTTTTGTATTTTTAGTAGAGACAGGGTTTCACCACGTTGGCCAGGCTGATCTTGAACTTCTGACTTTAGGTGATCTGCCCACCTTGGCCTCCTAAAGTGCTAGGATTACAGGTGTGAGCCATCGTGCCTGGCCAGGAATGGATTTTTTTGAATTTCTTTTTTTGATTGTTTTGTTGCTAGTATATAGAAGTGTGATTGATTTTATATCCTGAAACCTTGTTAAACTCCTTTTTCTGTGTGGATTCCTTGAGATTTTTAACATACAGGATTATGTCATCTGTAAATAAAGACAGTTTCCTTCTTCCTTTCCAATCTGATGCTTTTAATTAATCAATTGCTTAGTTAATTCATTTTATTTTTTGCCTTATTCCACTAGCTAGAACTTCTAGGACAGTGTAGAATAGAAATGGCAATAGCAGACGTCCTTGCCTTGTTCCCAACCTTAGGAGGAAAGGATTCAGTCTCTCACAATTTACATATGACAATTGTCTGTGGGTATTACATTAATTTCAGATGTTATACCAGCCATGCATTCCTGGGATAAATCTTCACTTAGCTATTCTATGTAATTCTTTTTGTATTGATAGATAGAGTTTAGGAATTACAGTTTTCTTGTGCTCTCTTTTGTCTCATAGAATGAGTTGGGAAGTGTTCCTTTTCTGAAAGATTTTTTTGAAGAATTGATAAATTGTTTAATTTTTTTTTTTTTCTTGAGACAGAGTCTCACTTGGTTACCCAGGCTGGAGTGCAGTGGCGTGATCTTGGTTCACTGCAACCTCTGCTTCCTGGGTTCAAGCAATTCTACAACCTCGGCCTCCCAAGTAGCTGGGACTACTGGTGCATGCCACCACACCTGGCGAATTTTTGTATTTGTTTAATAGAGGCCGGGTTTCACCATGTTGGCCAGGTTGGTCTCAAACTCCTGATCTGAAGTGATCCACCTGCCTCAGCCTCCCAAAGTGCTAGATTACAGGCATGAGCCACTGTACCCGACCTCAAACATTTTAAATTTATTGAGACTTGTTTTGTGGCCTAGTATGTAGTCTGTCTCAGGGAATGGATGTTCTGTGTGTTCTTCAATGTGCAGAATGTGTATTTTGCAATCATTAGGTAGAGTATTCCATATATGTCAGTTAGGTCAAGTTGCTTGATTGTATTGAGTCTTCTGCATCCTTGCTAATATTCTGTTCCATCAATTATCAAGAGTAGGGTATTGAAATCTCCAACTATAATTGTTGAATTCTCTATTTCTCTTTTCAATTCTGTTGTTGCTTTATGGATTTGGGAGGTCTATTTTTAGGTGCGTATGCATATGTAATTCTTAAATCTTCTTGATGTATTGGCCCTTTTATAATTTTAAAATGTCTCTCTCTAATGATCTTGTTGTAAAGTCTGTTGTGTCTCTTGTTAATACAGCCACTCAAGCTATTGTATAGTTATTGTATGCATGGTATAGCTTTGTCCATTTTTTTAAACTTTAAACTTGTCTGTGTCTTTGAATCTAAAGTGTGTCCTTTGTAGATAGTTTATGCAGTTGGCCCTTGAACAACATGGGGATTGGGGTGCCAACCCCCCATAACTTTGGACTTCCCCCAAAGTTAAATACTAATAACCTACTTTTGACTTGGTTCCTTACCAATAACATAAACAGTCAATTAACACATATTCTGTATGTTACATATATACTGTATTCTTATAATAAAGTAAACTGGAGAAAAGAAAATTTTTTAAAGAAAACCATAAGGAAGGGAAAATATATTTACTATTCATTAAGTAGAAGCAGATCATCATAAAGATCTTTATCTTTGTCATCTTCATGTGGAATAGAATGAGAAGAAAGAGAAAAGGAGGGATTGGTCTTCTTTCTGAGGGGTGGCAGAGGTGGAGGAGGTGGAAGGGGAGGCAGGAGAGGTAGGCACACTTGGTATAACTTTTATTGAAAAAAATTCATGTTTAAGTGAATCCACACAGTTCAAAGTTGTATTGTTCAAGGGTCAACTGTAGTTTAAGTATACTTTTTAAAAATCCAATCTGATAATCCCTGCCTTTCTTTAAGAGTGTTGAGATCATTCATATTTAATATAATTAATTGATTTGGCTGGGTTTACATTTGACATTTTGTTATTAGTTTTCTATATGCCTTCTTTTTTGTACCTCTGTTATTTTTTGATTGCCTTCTTTTGTGTTAAATAAGTATATTTTAGTGTACCATTTTAATTCTTCTTTTGATTTTTTAACTGTATTTTTAAAGTCATTTTTTGTGATTCCCTAGGGCTCACAATATGCATTTTAATTTATCACCATTTACTTCAGATTAATAACTTAATTCCTATAAAACAGAAAGTTTGCTCCCGTAAAGCGCCATTCTTTCCCCCTTCCATACTATTATTTTCATATTTATTATGTTTATATACGTTATAAACCCAACAACCCAGTGTTGTAATTTATGCTTTATCCAAACTTACACATCTTTTTAAAAAGTTAAGAAATGAGAAAAATATATTCAATCTTTTATATTAGTACATATATTTAAAATTTTTGGTGCTCTTCGTTTCTTCCTGTGGACACAAGTTACCATCTGCCATCATTTCCTTTCAGCCTGAAGGATTTCATTTAGTTTTTTTTTTTTTTTTTTTTTTTTTTGAGACAGAGTCTCACTTCGCCACCCAGGCTGGAGTGCAGCAGCATAACTCGGCTCACTGCAACCTGTGCCTCCTGGGTTCAAGTGATTATTTTGCCTCAGCCTCCTGTGTAGCTGAGACTACAGGTGCACGCCACCAAGCCTGGTTAACTTTTGTATTTTTGGTAGAGGTGGGGTTTTACCATGTTGACCAGGCTAGTCTTGAACTCCTGACCTCAAATGATCCACCCACGTTGGCTTCTCAAAGTGCTGGGATTACAGGCATGAGCCACCATGCCCAGCCTCATTTAGTATTTCTTATAAGGTAAATCTGCAAACAGTTTGTTCTCTGTCTTTGTTTATACAGAAATGTTCTTTTTTTTTGCATTTTTGAAGAATTGTTTTGCTAGATACGGAATTCTTGGTTGATGTTTTCTTTTTGCTTTTTGCTTTCAATACTTTATGTCATCACATTGCCTTCTGGTCTCCATTGTTTCTAATGAGAAGGCAGCCATTAATCATATTGAAATGCCTTTGTACATAATGAATTGTTTTTCTCTTGCTGCTTTCAAGACTTTTTTCTTTCTCTTTGTCTTTCACAGGTTTGATTATACTGTGTCTAGGTATAGAACTCTTTGTATTTATCCTACTTGGGGTCTGTTGAGTTCCTTGGATGTGCAGATTAATGTTTTACATCAAGTTTGGGAAATTTTCTGTCATTTTTTTCTACAAATTTTTTTCACCTATTTTGTCTTTCTCCACTCCTTCTAGGTCTCCCATTGCATGTATATTGGTATGTTTGAAGTTGTCCCACAGGTGTCTTGGTTCATTTTTCTTTGACTTTTTTTCTATTCTTCAGACTGGATAATTTCTATTTAATCTATGTACAAGTTCATTGATTCTTTTGCCATCTTGAATCTTCCATTGAGTCCCTTTAGTGAGCTTTTCATTTCAGTTATTGAACTAACTCTAGCATTTGTCTGCTAAATCCAACATCTGAATGCATTAAAAAATAGTTTTGATTAACTGCTTTATTTCCTGAGTGTGGGTCACACTTTCCTATTTTTTAAATCTCTTATAATTCCTTTTTTGTTGAAAATTGGATGTTTTGCTATTATATCAAACTCTGATTTCTGGTATTTTCCCTGTAATGGTTGTTGTTGCTGTTTTGTTTGTTTTGTAACTTGTCTGGGACAAGTTATGATGTCTGTCTCACTTGCAATGTGTGGTCATTGATGGCTTTGCTTAGTACTTTTTTAAACTTTTGTTTTTATTTTAATAATTTGGTTTTTATTTTAAAATCAAATTAAACCCTGGATTCCTAGAGGTTGCCCTGGTGTCTGTGTAGCTTAGTGGGCAAGTCACATGTGTTACTCTATAAATGGAAATAATATAGTATCCACCTCATAAAGCTCTTGGGAAATTTGAATAAGTTAATCAATGTAAATCACTCAGTGTAGGGACTGGCACATAGTAAGTGCTCAATGGATATGCGTATTCTTATTCTTTGGTATTATCATTGTGTGAGGAAAATGAGGCTCAAAGAAATCTAGTGACTCAAGATCACACACCTGGTGAAAGCTAGCGCCGAGCTTAAACCCATAGCCATCGGATGTTACTGTATGAGGCTGCACCTCCTGGTTCTGCATCTCTGTCATGTTGTCACAAAATTTTTGTGTAAGTGCTTAATGTTTACACAAAGTTGGCTGTGGAGGGAAATGGAGCAGTGGTGTGGAAATTGGAAGAAATGTTGCCATTCAACCTTGAGAGTCTCTGATTCTGAGATACCACCCAGTGGACAGATATGGGAGCTAGCAGTTATGATGCAGGACAAGCAAGCCCCAAAATTGAGGCTTAGCCCAAGAGGGTTCTTGGCTCCTCATAGGAGACAATTCGAGAGTGCACCAGTGTGTTAAGCAGCGACTTTGATTGAAATGGCCAGTACACAGCAGCAGCAGAGGTACTGCTCCTTGAGGAGTACCTAGAGCACTCAGCATGCCTAGAGTATCAGCTCAGCAGCAATTCTGCACTCATATTTATACCATTTTAATTATATGCAAATTAAGGGTCAGTTTATGCAGAAATTTCTAGGATGAGGGTGGTAACTTCTGGTTGTCAGGTTGTTGCCATGGCAATGCTAAACTGACATGGCACATTAGTGGGTGTGTCTTATGGAAAGCTGTTCCCACTCCAGACCTGTTTTAGCCAGTCCTCAATTTGGTCCCGTGTTTGAGCCCTACCTCTGGGCAGCACAGAGGATTGTTTCAGCCTCACTCCCTGGATTTTCTTCTCCAAGGAGTAAAGAGCAAATCCTATATTTGTGGTTAGCTGGTTAGAGACTGTTTCTATTAACTATTCTTTTGGGAGCTAAACTAATTTAATTCCATCCCCTAGACTTTTTTCCTGTTCAGGAGTGGTGTCTCTGGGATGAGTCCTTCTCCAGAGTCAGATGTTTACTCTCACATCTAAATATAGAGCCAAGCAAGCTCGTTGAGACGTTAGTTGAACTCATGTCTTTGGATGGATTTCATATCACAGTGGCTTTCTTTTGTAGAGACTTTGTGAGAGAGGAGGGATTTACTTTTTTAAAAAAAAGGTTGGGGGTAAAAGGTTGAAAATAAACAAGGACACCTCTTTGAAGTGTTTAGGAAGAAAGGGAGGTTTTAAATATTTCCTGGAAATCATCTAATTTACAAATGCACAACTTTGTTAATCATGTCCAGGCATGTCCTCAGCCCCGGGTCTTTCCATAATATTAAGAGCATGTTCGGTGGAATGCAGCCTGAATCATTCACTTCTAGCTGCAAATGAAAAAAGTTTCAATCAACTGGGACTCTACCTCAATGTGCATGCAAAGCAATTAAAATCAAAGAAGCTTAAAGGAATAATGTCCAGGGGTGGAATCCCATTTCTTTCCCCTTCTGTATGTTTCAGCTCTTCAGTCGCTCCAGTAAACACTAGGACAAGTTATTAGGAAGAGATTGCCTGTCTGATTGATTGACTGTATTCTTAGGGCTCCTCATAGCACTATACAGATAAATTGGAATTTTCAGAAAAAAAATTGAATGAATATTAATAATAACAGTGGAGGCTGGTATCAAGAGAAGGGACACAGAAGAGACAGTTGGGAGGAGTGAGAAGCAAAGCTTCAGCTGGCCGGGCATGGTGGCTCACGCCTTTAATCCCAGCACTTTGGGAGGCCAAGGCGGGTGGATCACGAGGTCAGGAGTTCGAGACAAATATGGTGAAACCCCGTCTCTATCTTTTTTTTTTTTTTTTGAGATGGAGTCTTGCTCTGCGGCCCAGGCTGGAGTGCAGTGGTGGGATCTCTGCTCACTGCAAGCTCCGTCTCCCGGGTTCAAGTCATTCTCCTGCCTCAGCCTCCCGAGTAGCTGGGACTACAGGCGCCCGCCACCACGCCTGGCTAATTCCCGTCTCTATTAAAAATATAAAAATTAGCTGGGCACGGTGGTGGGCACCTGTAATCCCAGCTATTCAGGAGGCTGAGGCAGGAGAATCACTTGAACCCAGGAGGTGGAGGTTGCGGTGAGCCGAGATCGCGCCACTGCACTCTAGCCTGGGTGACAGAGCAAGAGTCTGTTTCAAAAAAAAAAAAAAAACTTCAGCCAGTGTTGTGGGTTAGAGGGCCCAGGTCCGTGGAGAGGTTATCACCAGCACTTCACTCACTCAGCAAAGATTTATTCAGTTTCACCTGTGAGCCAGATCTTGCCTAGGTGCTAAGGACATGGGGGTTAGAAAAACAGATGGGGTCGGTCTCTGTCCTCATGGAATGTACAGTGAAGATAGACATTAAGCAGATAATGGGAACAGCTGCAATAAGGGCAACGAAGGGGAAGTCCAGGTGCTGCCCGAGTGGGGGATTCAGGGTGTGTGGGGGGGGATTGTTACTAAAGACTTCCTCCAGACAGTGACATTTAAGGTGAGACAAGTGGGTGGGACTTAGCCAGGCCAAGACACGGAGGAAGAAGAGTGAGGCCGAGAGCATATTGAGTGGAAAAGCTTTGTGGGTGGAAGGAGCTTGATGTGCCCCAGAAGCTGAAGCCTTAGCTGCCTGGAGCACACCCCGGTCAGGCTATTCAGGGCCTTGAAAGCTGTGCGAGGGATTGGGGACTTTATCCTGGGGACAGTGGGATTTGCAACCACTGGTGGCATTTTAACCAATGGAGTAATATGGTTTGCATTTTCATCCAGTGACTTAAGTACTTTTGCATGCGTTCTTCTGTGGGATGGACCTGAAAGAATGGTCTGGACTTGAGGATCCCTGGAGAGCACAGTGAAGCTCAACGAAGAGTTCCAGTTGTTGGGTTGTGGTGAGGGAACCAGCAATGGAAGGTTTTGAAGAGGGGAATGACATGTCTGGGAGCAGCTCTGTGGTGGCTTTCAAAAGTTCTGGGGAAACTTGATCATGTAGCAGAAGGCAGCTGAGGAGGCGGTCCAGGCACTTAGGAGCACAGTGGCCTGGACTTCTTAGGTGAGAGGGGAGGTTGAGAGCTCGTGGTAGGTGTTGCAGGGACCCTAGAGCCAGAAAGCTGTGGACTGGTCTTCAGAGCTTGAGGGCCAAGGGAGCAGGAAGCCTTCACAGGAAAAGAAAGGTCTGAGTGAAAGTGACTGAAGAGAGGTGGGAAAGGGAAGGGAGAGGCCTCTGGTCTTGTTGTGCAAGGAGAGGGAGTGTCCAGGTATGTAGATGGGGTGTGAGCCTCTTTTAGAGAAGTAAGGGTTGGGCTCACTTGCAAGCACTCAGGAAGGACCGGAAGGAAGAAAGTGAAGATGCCGTCCCCATTGTGTCCCTCAGCGCCCAGAGGGTGTGTCGACCTGCTCCTCAGGCCAGGCCAGCCCAACACCTGTGACTAACATGACCTCAGAGTCTAAAATAATGTGTGCCACAGCTCTGAAGTCAGAAGGCTGATTTTTATAAATCAGCACAAATTGACCTTATTACCCATGGTCCTTCAGTGACCTCAGAAATCAAAGTGAAAAAAAAAAAAAAAAAAACCCAGCCCTAAACCTCTCTGGACCAAAGTTTTGCTCCTGAAGCAGGACCCCAAAATACTAGTGGCCTATTTTCTGCTGAAGTCTCTCTGTCCTCATGGTTCTGGAGAATGTCCTTTCAGTATCTTTATTCCTCCCCCATTTCACTGCAGATGTGCTCCAAGTTTCATGTTCCAGCAATCAGATGACCACGATGGAATATTCCCTGAGCTGGTGTTTCCAGTCTTTAGTCTAAGTTCTAAGACACTGAGCATTCCAAAACCCCTACTGTTCTGTTTCCCAGAACAGACCTTTCTTCCCTATTCTCCAGCACCCTCTGTTCCTTCCCCTTTCCTTTCCTTTTCTTTTTCTTTTTTCCTTCCTTCCTTCCTTCCTTCCTTCCTTCCTTCCTTCCTTCCTTCCTTCCTTCCTTCCTTCCTTCTTCCTTCTTTCCTTCCTTTTTTCTTTAATGGGAGTGAGGTCATTTGTGGAGCTGTCACTGCTCTGCAAGAGGGCAGGCATGAGGGGTGCCAGGCCCTCCTGACTTCTACCTTCTGATTTGTATGGTTTGTAAAATGAGCTGTATAAATGCCCAACATTTGATCAAACGAAACTGAAAGGATGATTGATGATGCGGGGATCAAACTTACCATTTGAATGTAGACCATTTTATTGGTAAAGATGAATGAGAATGATTTGGCCTGAAAGGGAACTTCAGATTTTTTTCCTAATTGAAGTAGTCACTTCTTTCAGAATGCTAAGTTCCCTGGAATATTTTCCCAGCCTACTGTGTCTATGATAGACTCAAATATTGGAAGTTTTACCGGCTGTGTGTGGGGTGGGGAAGGAATTCTGTTGGTTCTCCGGTGAGTCCTGAAGAGACCTTGTTTCTGGGTAAGTAGACCTAATCAGGGAGACTTAAATGTTTCTTGGGGGGGTTCTTCCAAACCATTTTGAGGATTTTCTTAAACTTCCAGAATTAGGAGGCCATTTATTAAGATAGTCTGAGGTATGGTGTCAGCCAACAAGGTGAGTTGGGATTTTAATCATGGTTTCAGTTTAAAGGCAAAGGTTTAATCATGTTTTCGGTTTAAAGATCATGCCGTTCAGTTAGCCCTTTGTTATGATCTAAAGGTGTTTGACAGCTTGAAATCCAAAAGGAGGTCAACTGAGGTATGGAGAGCTCCACATATTGGGCTAAAAGCCAGTCACATTTAGCATTTTGGAAAGTTATGTGAAAAATTGATATCGTCTGTTGTAAAACTGAAGCAATTGCCAAGCTTGTCCATTGTTCTTTTGCACTGAATTAACTCACTCTTAATAAAAGGACCGACACAGGGCCTTACACGGGTGGTCTTTGTGCAGGGCCCACCTGTGTATCTTGCTCTGATGGTTGTCTTTGCTCATAGCTCAATGATGCTGATTAAATGAGTTTAAGTGTGCTGGACAGTGTTGCACAAACTAGGCCATTTGTGTGTCTTTTCTCTTTCTCTTCCTTTGTAGATTATAAATTCAGCCTGTATTCTAACAAAAGATTTTCATTCCAGAATTTAAGGCAGTGTTCTTCTCTCAAAATGATATGCCTCACAGATGGTCTAGGGCAGCCAAGTGGATCACATAGCCCTTCGATCCTGGGAAGTGTCAGGCCTTCCAGTTTTTTTCTGACCATTCAGCCTTCACACTGGTTCCCTTCTAGTCTTGGACTGTTGAGGGGTAGAGTCCTAGTTGGTCCCAAATTGCCCCTTTCCTGGGGACCAGGGTGGGTAACAGTTGGGTTCTGGGCTCCTTGGTAGTTTCACTCCCTTCCTGTTTGCAACCATAGCAGAGCTTTGGATCATTCTGGAGGGACTTGAGTCCCCTGGATTCCTGAAAATGACCTAACCTTTTTGGATTCCTAGAACCAGACCTTCTGGCACTGGCCACAACAGATGGAAGCCAATTTTTCAGAGACCCAAAGGACAGACCAATCGTAGCCTGAATCCCAAGAGTTCAGTGGGAGACACACTGTATTCGTCTGTTCTCACACCGCTACGAAGAAATACCCGAGACTGGGTAATTTATAAATGAAAGAGGTTTCGACTCACAGTTCCACATTGTTTAGGAAACTTACAATCATGGCAGAAGACAAAGGAGAGGCAGGCACCTTCTTCCCAGGGGTCAGGAGGGACTGAGGGCCAGTAGGGGAAATGCCAGATGCTTATCAAACCATCAGATCTCATGAGAACTGACTATTACTAGAACAGCGTGGGGGAAACTGCCCCCATGATCCAATCACTTCTTACCAGGTCCCTCTCACGATGCGTGGGGGTTATGAGGATTACAATTCAAGGTGAGATTTGGGTGGGGACACAGCCAAACCACATCACACACAGTGAGTGGAACAGGGTAATGAATTTAGAGCCCCAAACCTGAACCCCATTCTTGCTTTCTCATTATATGAGCTCATCAATTATTTGTCCTGCCCGAGCTTCCGTTTCTTGACTTATAAAATGAGGATAAGAACATGCACCTCACAAGGCTTTATAGAAAAGAAAGGAGATGAAGTGTGTAAAAACGTGATATAAGCTATCATAACATAGTTAATCTTCTTTATAGATTTAGGAATTCTTCTATTGTTGGTACATACGTTAGTACAGGCACATTAGAAGTTTCTCAGTAATTTTTTGGGGTTCAGGGAGTTGTTTTGGCAGCCCCATGCTAAACGTTTTAATCCTTACCGTTTATAGGGAGGCAGTTGTTTTTATTGTTGAGAGAAAAAATAGATTTCACATAAAGGGATGAAAAATGTAAGGTCTTTTGTTCTTTTTATTAATTTCCTTCCTTTCGTCAGTGACTTTTTGTATTAAGATCTACACTCTTGATGGGGAAAGCAGACCTCGGCTTATTGCTAGGTTTCAGGGGAGTGGGGGAGGAGGGAGAATGAAAAACAAGCAGGATGTTTCCTCCTCCACGGAGCTGTTTATAAGCTTTTGGCAGCATGAGTAACACACTGTGCTCGTCTAGTGAGTCTGGCTCTGCGGCTCTGAGGCTTGCCCATTTGCATATAGGACTAATTGATTTATTGGGAGAATGAGACTTAGAACCTTTAGGATGGAGATGTTACCTTCCAGTCTCTTGTATAGTAAAAGCTACTATGATTACTTTCAGTAGATAAACAAGTTGCTTTATGTAGTTGTCCTCGTCAGGTAATAGCAGCAGCAGCAGCAGTGACAGTTGACATTAACTGAGCAATTATTAGAGGTTAGTCACTATTCTAAGTGCTTTACATGTGCTGATTCCCGATCTGCACTGCCACCATATAAGGTAGGAAGGCGGATATGGTAGTTTCCCATCTTAAAGGCGAGAGAATCCAGCACAGAGGGGTTAAATGACTTGCCCGGGAGCACATACCTCGTTTAGGGGCTGGCACAGTATCTGGAAAGATGATGACTAGGTTTTAGGGTGTTGGATCAATGAGTGAATGAGTAAATATGCCCTTCACAGTGTCTGTCACAAGGCAAGGACTCAACAAATGGCAGTTTTTAGTCATATTGCTCTGGAATTGGACCAGAGAACTGGAGTGTTTGTTGAGATAGAAAGTGTGTTTGTAGTAGCATATTTTATTGGAGACCTTGGGTGACCAGCTTTCTCAAGAAAAATACGGAAGCTCATTAGGAGCTAACCTCTGACTTTAGCTTGGGCAGTTTACCCATTGTCCATGAGTTAGGCCATTCATTCATCTTCCCCTCTTATTTCCATGTATTATGCAGTGGTTAAGGGTATCAGCTGTGGGAGGAACAGCCCTGGTGCAAAACCCAGCACTGCCAGATACCACCTGTGGGCACTTAACCACTTGGGCCCAAGACTTCTCCTCTGAAATGAGGGTGAGAGGATCCAGCACATGGCTGGATACATTATCCATGGAAATACACCTATCTCGAGGGTTGTTGTGAGCACCAAGTGAGCTTATATACAGGAACAGCTTCCAACAGTACCTGGCACACAGTAAGCACTCAAGCAGTGTTACCTGCTCACACCATGATTGTGGATATCTATTATCATCCACTTCCTCAGTCCCCTGTCACAGCCCTCAGAGAATTTGAGGTGTTCACTAAAATGACACAAAGGTGAAAAAACAAAACCAAGTAGACACTCAGGGCCAGGGGGTAAATGTGTAGAAGATGAAAGTGTAGACCTCATAGAAAAAGACATAAAGGCACGCCTGGTGGCAAAACATGCTCCGCAGCCCCGCAGCCCCGCAGCCACGCAGCCACGCAGCCACGCAGATACACAGCCAGTGTGAAAAGGGAGATTGTCATCCTTTATGGAGCCGTCATTGTCAGAGAGAAGGAAGCAAGTCAGTCCTCAGGGGAAGCAAGTCAGTCCTCAGGAGAAGCACAGTGTTCTCAAGCACCGACTTCTCAAATAAATTACCTTTATTTCTCTTTTTAGAACATGTTCTCTAAGTGCTACACACCTGGCCGCAGGTGGGCCCCATCAAAGGCTCAGATGCTCCGGCCTTGTCTTTCCCTCTCACGGCCTGGAGTCACCACCCTTTAGCCCTTTGTCTGAACTGAATTCCTTGAAATCAGTTGGGCATTTTATATTTTGGTTTGTGGTCAAACCTCATTAGCCAAGAAGGGATGAACCATACCACTTACTTTTGTATAGCTAAAGGTCTGGGCGACAGTGGCCTTGAGGACCCCTCACGAGCAAAGTCCTGAGGCAGGACTAGGGACAGGCCTTGGAGCTTCTCCCGAGGAGGGCCGGCGCTGCCCTTGCTCCTGGCGAGCAGGTGTGTGCTTGCAGGGGTGGGGGCAGTGGGCAGGCGCCTTTCCCGTCTGCTTGTGTGTGTCCAGAGCTGTCAGACCCATGTTCCTGGTCACGTTTGCAGTGGCACGGGGTGCTCCAGCCACCGCCGTCTGGTGCTCTTAGCCAGACGGGGCCACATCACGCTCTGGAGAGGGCTGGGAAGGGCCTTAGGGTCTGGCCTCAGATGCTGACCCTTATCTGTTTGTTTGCTTCTTTTCAAGGGCTACAGAGCCAGGAAGAGGAGCATAGAAAGAAAAAGGAACAGGAAATTGTTCAAAAGAAGTTCATGAAATGAGAAAAGCAGCAGGAAACAGCTCGGGAATCGGCGAGGCTGCAGCCGAAGGAAGTGTGTCTTGAGGGCCAGGCGGGCCAGGGGGATAAACCATCCAGACCTTTGTGGCTCCTTCCTTCTGGGCCCTCATGAGTTGGGTCCCCAGGATGGAAGGGACCTTTCCTGTAACTGGGGGACCGAGTGTGCCACTCACCACCCCCGGTGTCAGTGCAGAGACGGGGATCTGGCGTTAGAAATGACTGTGCATAAGCCAGACCACCCCAGGCCTGCTACACAGCTGCCTCCCTCCCTGCCCCTCTTGTTTGCTCCCCTCCTTCCATGACGGGTCAGCGGTGCTCTGCCAGAACCCCACTGCTTGGGGCCGCTCAGAGATTCTTCTGTCCCTCACCAGGCGCTCCGTCACTCAGCCGCACCCTGGCCCGACTCTGCCTGCAGTGTGGAGTCCCGGCCTGGAGCCTGCCTGTGTTGGGGGAGACAGTGGGAGGGAGAGGAGGAAGCAAAGGCCCGAGGGATCACGGGGAGGCATCCTCAGGGGCCCACGCATCAGTCACAGCATGGGCGACGCAGGGCAGGTTTCCTGGCTCAACACCACACTTAGGAAATCCTTTGTTAATTGTGACTCGTTTTTAAATTTGTCCCACATCTCTACGGCTGCAAGTGGAATCTGGAAAATCACCTTTTTTGTGCTTTTCTCATGGGCAGGATGAAATTGAGTTCCCAGTTAGAAACTGCTTACCTCTCGGTGTGGGCTGTTTGCCTCCGGTTTGTTTCTGTTTTTGGGGTTTTTCTGTTGGAATTGACTAGTGGACTTACAAGCTGACGGTGTCCATTCTGGGGCCAATGTCTCCTCAGCATTCCTCCTCCACACACGCAGGCCTCTTCAGCCGACTGATTCTTTGGCCAGTGTTCAAGTTGAGTGTAAATAGGACGTGACTGAAAACCAGTTCTTGAGCTTCCATATCCTTTTCTGGTCAGAGTATTGAACACTGCAGTTTTTAGTGGAGTTAAGGGAGTTGTTGAATTGGGTCAGAGTGTTTTGGGGCTGGAAAAACTCTGAGGTACGATCCCATCATGAGTTCTTTTTTTTTTTTTCTTTTTTTTTTTGAGACGGTGTCTCACTCTTGTCGCCCAGGCTGGAGTGCAGTGGCGCGATCTCGGCTCACTGCAACCTCTGACTCCCTGGTTCAAGCAATTCTCCTGCCTCAGCCTTCCGAGTGGCTGGGATTACAGGCACGTGCCACCATGCCCAGCTAATTTTTGTATTTTTAGTAGAGACGGGGTTTCACCATATTGCCCAAGATGGTCTTGATCTCCTGACCTCATGATCCGCCCGCCTCGGCCTCCCAAAGTGCTGGGATTACAGGCGTGAGCCACCGCGCCCGGCCCCATCATGAGTTCTTGAATCTCCTCCATGGCCTCCCTGGAGTGTGGAGTTGTCCAGTGGAAACTACGTGAAGGCCCAGGGACAGGGAGCTGCCACCTTCAGAGTAGCCTCTTCCATCTTCAGACATATTTTAGAAAACTCTTTCTTATGTTTTCCAAAACCTGCTTTTATCTCTTGATGCTTCAGCTCTCGATCTCAATGAAGAAGCCTATTTCCTTTCTTTTACAAATTCAGAGAGAGCCTTCCATCAGGGGAAACAGTCCCGGCTTCCCCATGTGCTCCCTGGTGGAAATATCTCTAGGTTCCCTGCTCTCCAGATACCTGCTTCTGAATGCACAGCAGTTGGTCTCTGCTCCCCTCAAGTACGGGGCCCAGGTGTGAAGACCGTGCTTCAGAGCTGGGCACTGGGAGAGGGCAGACACAAACCGGAGTGCAGAGTACAGGGCTATTCTCAGCTCCCTGCGTGAAACCAGGGAGCTCTGCCTCTGCTGATGGAGCTGCGCCAAGTCCTTATTTGATGGCCGCGTCCTGCTGGAGACACTGAGTTTGCAGTGGCACCAAATCCTCTGTGTGTGCCCTTTGTTGTGGCCGCTCCACATTTCCAGGATGGTCTCCACCCAGAATTTGATTTGAACGTTGAGACCACATAATAGGGTTTTCTGGAGAGAGCAGGGCCGGCTTCTCAAGCTGGTCTGAAAATGAAAGACAGGGAAGAGAAAGGAGAAAGGAGACTGGTCTGGGGATTGTATGGTGATTAGCGGTTAGGTTTGGGCGAGGGTTCCGTGTGGGCAGGGGCTTACATGGTTTGAACCTTCTGCTGCAGCCAAGCGGGAGAGCATCCAGACTTTCTTATCAGCTTGCCCAGATGTGGGGCAGAAGGGGAAGAGCGAGGGATGGGGCTTAAAAAAAAAAGCTGTCAGCAGTTAAAGAGCAAAAAATGGAGTCAGACTGTCATACCTCCTTTTCATTTATTTTCTATCAAGATCAAATGTTTAATACAATGAAATGCACAGGTCTTAAGTGTGCAGTCCAGTTAGTTTTGACAAACTTATATACCCTTGTAACTGATACTCCAGTCAACAAAAGCAACATTTCCATCCCTCTTTTTTTTTTTTTTTTTTTTTAAGAGACAGAGCCTTGCTCTGTCACTCAGGCTGGAGTGCGGTGGCATGAACACAGCTCACTGTAACTTCCAACTCCTGGACTCAAGCAATTACCCCACTTCAGCCTCCTGAGTAGCTGGGACTACAGGCGCATGCCTAGCTAATTTTTTTATTTTTTATTTTTTTATTTTTTTTGTAGAGATGGGATCTTGCTGTGTTGCCCAGGCTGGTTTTCAAACACCTGCACTCAGCGATCGTCCTCCCTCAGCCTCCCAAGGTGCTGGAATTATCACTGTGAGCCACCGTACCTGGCCATCTCCCCATTTTTTGAGGCTACTGCTAAGGCAGGTCTCATGGCCACGAACTTGTGTGGTTGGTTGGCATGATGCCACTGCAGGGCTTTCATGTTCAGCCCAAGTTTGAGTTGGTGCATTGATCCTACCCCACCAGGTTGTGTCAGAGACTGATTCTTCTGCCCTTTCTGTTTGCCATTCTGTGTCTCTGTTTCATGCTCTTGGCAAGCCTGGTAAGTATCTTTCTCTATCTTCTAGTAAGTCCTTGATGAACACATTCAAGAGTCAAGAGAGAATCTTGAATTCATTCATTTGAGGTCATCTTGAAATTGAGGTCCTCCTTCAGATCCTGTTCTGGAGGCCAGGGATAAAAGGGCAAGATACAGTCCATACCTCTGTGGGCCTCACTGTCTAGGAAGCATCACAGATGCACAAATGCCTAAATATAATACTGTGTGCATATGCAGTAGAACTACGCGAGTTAATACTGTAAGGGAGCAGGTGATTCTGCACGGACAGCCTGGGAAGCCCACAGGAGGTTCAGGAGTTCGGCAGAAGGGCTCCTGTAGAAGCCTGAGGGAGGGACCCAGCCTTTATGAGTAGCACCCTTCCCTTTCCCTGGAGTAACCCCTGGCTGGTAGTGCTGATGTGAGAGCCCAGCGAGGAGGGCGGCATGTGGTCCCCGACCTGCTGTGGCGGGGGGACGTCAGCAGCGGCAGCAGGCCGGGGAGTTAGTCCCTAGGCGGGGGCTTGAGAGTTTCTTGCTGGTTCCAAGGAGTCGGCCTTGTCCTACCTCTCAGATCACCTTTCCAGCAGACCCTGTGGGCCTGTGCTCTGTGAGGTAAGGAGGGTTACCATGGGAACTGTGACTTTTGCGTCTTCTTACTGAGCTTTTCATATTGTCAATTCCAACCCCAAACATCTGCCTTTTGCATGTTTAGAGTCCTTAGGTAAGCGTAAGGGAGTGCCAGCTGTGGTGTGGGATACAGATTACTGTCTTGCTTCCTCCAGCTCTCCAGCCTCATCAACATCAATGTATCTCCAAACATGAGGAACTGGAGAAGCTAGGGAGCTTAATAAACACGATAAATTAATCAAATTATACCAGTGTGTCAGAGGGGTGGAACGTACTGATGGCGCACAAGCAAGATTGTTGTGTTTGAAACCGAAGACAGAATATTCAAGATCTGCTTCTCATCTCATTTCATACCAGTTCTTTTCAGATCATGGGGGAGAAGTGTGATCACAGAGGATCAGAATTACTGGGAGGGGATTTAAGCATTCTACACACCCCTCCTCTACCCAGGATTATAATATGCATGCCAGGGCAGGGGAACGTCACCTCTTCTCCCTTTCAGGTCATTACTGGAATGTGGTCATGTTGTTAAAATTACAGCCTGGGCAACATGGTGAAACCCTGTCTCTACAAAAAATACAGAAATTAGCGGGGCATGGTGGTACACACCTGTAGTCCCAGCCACTTGGGAGGCTGAGGTGGGAGGATCATCTGAGCCCAGGAGATGGAGGTTGCAGTGAGTTGGCATCATGCCATTGCACTCCAGCTTGGGCGATAGAGTGAGACCCTGTCTCAAAAAAAAAAAATTCTGTCATATCTTTTAGGTGTGTGGGCAGAAAAAAGATTGTGTCTACTTGACTTAAGCTGCTACGTATACACTGATGACCTCTGTGTTAGTAAGGCTAGACTAAGCTGGGCTGTAATAACAAACATGACTGAAATTTCTGTGACTTCATACATAATTTTTTTTTTTCTTTCCCACACAAATGTCACACTGGATGCATTGGCTTTCTAGGACATCTTCCTTTTAAGCAGTGACTCGGGAATCGAGGCCACTTCCATCCTGTAACGACGCCATCTGGAGCATGTGGCTTCCAGGGGAGCAGTGGCTGAGGCCCTGCAGTGGCTTCTCACTGCTACAGTCCAGAGTTGCACACAGCACTTCTGCTCATAGTCCATCAGCCAGGAGCTAGTCATGTGGCCACCTCGCTGCAAGGATCCAGGAAGGCAGAGTGCGGGTGAGCACTAGCGATGTCTGTTACTACCGTGTCCATCTGAGACCTGCTTCTGAAACACCCAGACCTGTGTCCTAACTACCCCTAGGAATCTCCATCTGAACAGCCCATGGGTGCAGCAAAGTCAACATGCAACACAGAACTCATTGTCGTCCTCTCCCCAAATGTGCCCTTTCCGAAGCTTGGCTAATGACAGGTTGCTTGAGCCAGAAACAAAGGAATGGTCTTAGACTTCCCTTCTGTCCGCATTCCCCCAGTTCCATCTCACACATGTCTCCTGAGAGCTTCTGCCCTCTGCTTCTGTCCGCCGGGCTGGTGCTCAGCCAGTGCACGCTGCGTGGCCCTCCTGACTGTAGAAGAGCCTCTCTTGTTATGGGGAGAGGACTTCTCTGTCTTCCGAGGACTTAGGCCGAGCATTACTGCCTGTGTGTACTTCCCTGACCGCTCTGCCCTGGCAGAATTTGATGCTCAACAACTGTGGCTCTGAGGGCACAGCCCCGATTGCTCTGGGGTAGAGCTTTTTCATCGTTGCTCTAAGTTTCTTAAATGGGGAAGCTCTTTACCAAGTGAACCTGGTTCTGTGAGTCTTGTATTTCCTCCTTTTAAAAAATAATAGTTGTTGTTGAATGTGTACTAAGGGACAATCCAAGCCCTCATGGAGCTTACAGTCTTATGAGAGAGGCCAACCATAGATAAGTAAACAAACAGATGTACAACTGTGGCTGGGCACGGTGGCACACTCATGTAGACCCAGCTTCTCAGGAGGCCAAGGAGGGAGGATCGCTTGAGTCCAGTCCGAGACCAGCTCAGGCAACATAGTGGGACCCAATCTCTATGAAAAGAAGAAGGAGAAGGAGAAGAGGAAGGGAAAGGGGACGAGGAGGAGGCAGCCAAGGGGAGGAGGAGAAGGAGGAAGAGGAAGAAGAGAAAGGGAAGGGAAGGGAGGGAGGGGGGAGGGAAGGAAAGGAGGGAGGGAAAGAGGGAAGGAAAGGAAATAGCTAGGCATGGTGGCATGCTCCTATAGTCTCAGCTACTCAGGAGGCTGAGGCAGGAGGATCACTTGAGCCCAGGAGTTCAGGACCAGCCTGGGCAACATAATGAGACTCTGTCTTTTAAAAAAAATTAAAATTAACCGGGTGTAGTGGTGTGCACCTGTGGTCTCAGCTGTTCAGGAGGCTGAGGTGGGAGGATCACTTGAGCCCGGGAAATCAAGGCTGCAGTGAGCTGTGATTGTGCCACTGCACTCTAGCCTGGGTGACCAAGGGAGACCCTATCTCAGAAAAAAAAAGGTATAATTGCCAACTGTGGGAAGTCCTAAGAAGAAAAAGAGTAGGCTGCTGTGAGGAAGAGAGCCCGTGTGTTTCCTCTTCCCAGGATCCACTCCTCTGCCTCCTCTGCAGAGGAAAAGTGAAAGCCTCATTTTCTTTTGAGGCTCTAGACAAAGGGTCTCTAGACAAAGATGGGGTGGTGTGTGGAAGGTTTCCTGATTGCCAGTAGCAAGGCTGGCAGGAGGCTGGCTTATATGAAGCTGACCAATGAAATGATCTACAGCCCTCGTTAAAAAAGAAAAAATCACCAGAGAAGTGTCTGCCTGGCCTGGTGTCCTCCTTCTGCCTTGAGCTTCCTCTCCATCCTCTGACTGAGGGACTCTGAGTATGTCACTCTGCTCCTGCAACCCGAGGGAGCCAGCGGCTGTTCTCACCAGTGCCTACTGACACAGCCCTTAGTCTCGTGACCTGGGGAAGACCCCAGCAATGACATCTCCACAATTCCTGTCAGGGAAATGAGGTCATTGCCACTCATGGCCCATAGGAGGGACTCCCTGGTGGGAGCTGGGTGCTCTCCTGGACAGCGAGCCGGTGCGGGATGGCCTGAGATGCAAAGCTCCTTCTGCTTTCTAAAGTGAAGTTCACTTTATCCACGATGCCTTTCAGTAGGATTCCCCTGAGCCCGTACTTTACCCCGAGTCAGTGGACTACTGTGGTGGGGAGGGTGGAGGAAGGGAATTTGGAAAAGTGGGAAGCTCACTGGCCATTTGAAAACCAGAAAGGAAAATGAAAGGTCTTTAAAATGATGCTTTTAGTCATTAGGAGCATACGATTCAGTGAATAAAAATAGAGTTTCATGTCCGTTTTTAGGTGCATAGCAAGGCTGTGCTGGGAGCTGTTCTTCCGCCCAGTCTTATATGAACCAGAATGTTACTTAGTGTCGAGCACCTCCTAGGTAACAACACAAAGGAGAATGAGGCCAGGAGCAGAACCAGGCCATAATGGCCAGGCAGATGCTGGGGGAGGAGACGCTGCGTCTTTCCCTGAGCCTTCCTGGTATTTTCTTTCCTTGAGGAGTAGCAGCTACACTCTCTGTCTTTGGCCCCAGCCTCACAAAAGTTAGCCAGGGGACCTAAAATGCAGGGGAGATGCGGTTCCCTAGTGGGAGAGCTCTATGACATCTCTCAGGGTGAGCATCTCCACTGTTGGGAGCACCGTCTAGAGAGCCAGAGCTCCTGATGGACTTGCAAGATGTGTACCAGGACGCCAGGATCAGGGTAGAGGCATGGAGAGGTGCCAAGTCTTGAAAGTAGGGGTGTCGATCAGCCCCGGGGGGCTGCCAAACCACTCCTCTCTAATGCCTAAAGCCCCTCACCCGATCAGGTGTGTCCACCTAGCTCTCTAGCCACGGCTTTAAGCTTTAGTACCTTTCTTCCTCACTCACCCATGCTCCAACTCCACTGGTTCTCCTCCCCGCTTTTTAACAGAAATGTGCTAAATGCATTCCTTGATTTTTCACTAGTGACTCCCTTTGCCCTCTTTCCCCAAATCTTTGCATTTCTGTTTCCCCACAGTTCAAGTTTCAGCTCAAATGTTGCCTTTTGAAAAGCCCTTCCCTGACTATCCGATGCCAGTAGCTCTCACAATGTCACATTCTCCCCCATCACCCTATTTTATTTTCTCCGAAACACTTACTGCCATCTGAGGCCATCTTGTCTACTCTGTAAGTTACAGGAGTGGGACCCCTGCCTGTCTTTCCCCTGCCTTATCTGCAGTGGCTAGAGCAGTGCCTGGTTCACAGTAGGGGTGTAATAAATATTCGTTGAATGATTGAAAGAATGCAAAGTTGTTAGTCATGAACAGGGAAGGCATCCATGTCTTAGAACTTTGCAGTGTGTTGTTGCTGGCTGCGGGTACTGTTGATGGGACACTCACTCAGAGGTTCCGGCTTGGTACTTCCCCTGGCCCCGGAGAGAACCTGGGACCGTGCTCACGTTCAGCAGTGCCCAGCTGGTAACTTCTTGGGGCAGTGTTTTTCCTCCTGAGCGAAACACTTCGAGCAGCATCTTGTTTCTGTTTTTATTCCAGCATGGCAAGCCTCTCGTTAGGTGCAGGAGGAAACCTTGGTGCAGTTCCAGGTTTTTCTTTTGAAAAGCAGAAGGGCTCTGTCTGTCTTGGAGCAGAAAATCCCAGATCGCCTGGGCTAGAAGTGCTTTTGACCAATTTTGTTAATGTTAAAGGAATTAAAGTTACCAACCATCATGATGGTACTTAAAATATGAATGAAGGTACAAGTGTTTTAAAAAGAAAACAAAACTCAAACTGGCTCCCCTGGAAAAGGAACATCCCTTTTCCTTTTGGTACGTGTTCAGCGTTTCTGTGACCACACAATTAACGCCTGGCTTTATAACTGAAATCACTTGGGAATTCTTTTAAGATTGTTCAAATCTTCCATCACTGACAGTTACCAAACTCTGTACCTGGATGTTTATCACTTAACTATTAATGACTCCAGTAAAGTCACAAATAACTGTTGTATGAATTGCACAGAGGCAACCTCATCTCTTGATATTGGACTAGAATATTCAGAAAGCAAATTTGCCCTGACCTGGCATTCTGGGAACCAGACCATGAATACAGACCTGTGGGGAAGCGACCTGTTTTGGAAGAGGAGAGAAAGGGCAGGGCATGGCGTCTCTGCCTCATCAGAGCAGTACACGCTTTTTGTTTGTTTGTTTGTTTGACATCCATGGAGATCGGGAAACTGCAGGTTTAAGAGTACAATCAAGACACCAATAATCCAGATACCACCTGCCTGGATAAGGTTAAAATGTCTTAGTTTCCATAGGAATGCCAAAGTTTTTCGTTCATGCAGGCGTGTAGGAAATTAAACCCCAAGAAAGGCCAAGTCAGATTTCTTAATCCACCCCAAGTGATGACATTTGAAGTCTGGGTTTATGGTTGGAAAGTGACCGGGTAAAAATAGCACTGACTGACTCAACAAATACACCATCTCGGGCTCCCAGAGCTGTTGATGTGTGCGGACGCTGGTAACAGACCCCAGGGCTTGGCCGTTCAGAACCTGCCCTCCTGTGGGAAGGGTAGGGCTGCCAGGAGAACTTAGGCTTGCCTGTGGCATCTCCTGCCCAGGTGCCCAGCTCTTTCCATGCCCAGTTCCCGAAGCGTGCGGTCCAGGCTCACCCTGTGCCTTTGCTGGCTGTTAACTCAGAGGGAAGCCCGTTGGCTGCTTTTGCTGTTGGGTTTGGATGGTCTGTATCACTTTAGGCAGTAGCAAGTTCATCACCTTCCACCTCATTGTCTGCAGTGAGGTTTACACAGTCATTTAAATCTGACAGGAAGGGAATTGCTTTGCCTCAGTTTACCTCCCTGGACACAGAGGTTTGACTGAACTTTCCCATTCATGAGCTCGTGTCCTCACCTATTTCTGAGGCTGCTCTTTCATGGCTGGATTACTTTTTTTTTTTGGTTAAGACGGAGTTTCACTACATTGCCCAGGCTGGACTCGAACTCCTGTGCTCAAGGGATCCTCCTGCCTTGGCCTCGCGAAGTGCTAGGTTTACAGGTGACAGTCACTGCTCTGGCTTAGTGGGTTCCTTTAGGCCTGGAGCTCTGAGAATGCAAATTGGCCTCTGGGAAAGGCTCAGTCTCTGGAGGCTTGAGGATTTTTCTAAGCTGCTCAGATACTCAGAGCATCTGCTCTTTCCAAGATGTACTTGGCAAGAAGAGATGGGGAAATGTAGCATAAATACAGCTAGATGAATGACAGGAAACGAAGCCAGGTGAGATGAACTCTCAGCTTATTGTTTGATTTTTCTTTGACAAATGCATTTGGAAGTCCAGTCAACCATCTTGTGGTGAAGCAGGAAGGTTGCAGAAGCTTGGAGCGGACTTGGCTTCGGAAGAAGGTTGTATAAATAGGTGCCTCTGTTGACTTTGAGAAGGAATCCTAAAGAAAGTTGCGGTCATGGCTAAATGCCTTAAATCTCATGCACATTGACTAAAAGATGGGTGTTTTCTGTGAGGTAGTTAATTAATTTCTTTTAAAATGTTTTCAAAAGCAATATATGTCCATTTTGGAAACATGAAAAATACTTTAAAAATAATTGCACACTTATTCCAGTGGTATTTTGTATATTTTCTTCTGGTTTCATATGTGTGTGTATATACACACATATATATAAATATATACATTAACGGCCAGGCGTGGTGGCTCACGCCTGTAATTCCAGCACTTTGGGAGGCCGAGGCTGGCGGATCACTGAGATTGGGAGTTCAAGACCAGCCTGATCAACATGGAGAAACCCTGTCTCTACTAAAAATACAAAATTAGCCGGGCATGAAATCCCAGCTACTTGGAAGGCTGAGGCAGGAGAATCGCTTGAACCTGGGAGGCAGAGGTTGCGGTGAGCCGAGATCGTGCCATTACACTCTGGGCTGGGCAACAAGAGCAAAACTCCATCTCAAAAAAAAAAAAATATATATATATATATATGTACACACACACACATTAATATACATTTGACACACTGATACTCCTACATAGAACATATATTACAATATTATATAGTTATAATTTCAAATATTTATCCCTGTGATTACAAAAGTGTGTGTGTGTGTTTGTATATAGTAGAAAACTAGGAAGACTATAGGGAAGAAATTTAAAATACAGTCGCTCCTTTACTTATGGGGGGGGCTATAGCCCAATAAACCTATCGTAAATAAAAAATATCCTAAGCTGAGAATACATTTGATGCCTTGATAAACCCATCCTAAAGCTGAAAAATTGTGAAGTGGAACCGCATTGTGGCGGGGACCATCTATATCTGTGTCCCACTGTGGCATGAGGGGACGTGGCAGCTGGTCTCCAAAGCCGACCCCTAAGGGAGACACCTCCCTGTACGCACACCTTTGTGTTGGTCCCTCTCCCTGAGTCTGGGCTGGCACCGTGGCTTGTTTTGACAAATGGGATGGAGTGGAAGTGATGCCGAGTGCCTTCCAAGGCTGGGTCACAAGAGGCCCTGCCGTTTCAGCCTGGGTCTCCTGGAACACTCACCGTGGCAGACTTCCCCTTGGACCCGGCTGCCGTGCCGGGATGGAGCCTGAACCTCAGGGAGAGCCCACGTGAGCTCATCAGGATGACAGCTCTGCTAAGCGCGTTGCCGCGGCCAGCAGGGACTGCTGCGACCTGTGTAGCCATCATGGTCGGCCAGCCAGGCTGAGCCTTTAGAGGCCTCCAGCCCAGCCACCGTCTTACTGCATTCGCCCAAAAGACCCCCACAATCAGACCCTGCTAAGCCTAGGGGACCCACGGAACTGTCAGGGATAGTAATACACTGTTGTTTTAAGCCACTAGGTTTTGGAGTGATTTGTTTCCCAGAAGTAGGTAACTGCACAGGGAGTGGGTGGAATCAGAGGTAAGCCCTGTTTAAAGGGACCACATTGAGGCAAAAGAGCTCAGACTTTGTGATGGGGATGGGGACTAACTTGCATTTCTGCTGGTCACTCACTGGCCGTGTGACCCTAAGCAGGTTATTACAGGCCACCGTGGACCTGAATTTTCAACATTTGCAAAATAGAAAGTGAGGGCCTTTCAAATATTCCAGGGGCTGGCACACAGTAGGTACTAAGGAAATGTTAGTTTCCATATGGTGATATTTAATGATCATGAGGAATGTTGCAGAAGAGAGGGGAGCTGTCAGTAGTAAGGCAGGTCCCAGCACCTCCCAGTCTCTGGTTCTCCTTCATAGGCAGGGCCCTCTCTCAGCAGGGCCTGCCCATGCTTGCTGGGTGACTGGGGAGCAGGGCTGCTGCCCTCAGGACCAGGGTAGGATGGAAGCAGCTGCAGCAGTGGCAGCAGAGGATATTTAGTGAAAAAACCTCCAGTATTTGCATTTTGAGGCTAGGAAAGACACTATTTATTTCTGAACCCTCACATTTAGCATAGTGCTTGGCACATAGTAGGGATTTTGTGGCTTGCTTAGCTGGGCATGGGTGAGAACAACGCAGTAGAGTATATCTCCTGTGTCTGATGATATATTTGTGCTGTTCTGAGAACAAACAAGGTATGAGTGAGGGGCAAAGACCATTCCTGTTCAGAATCACAGGGTGGTAGGGCTGGGAGGAGTCTCAGACCACATTCATTTCAAACCCCTCATCCTTACAGTCTGCGACAGCTGGGGATGGCTTGCCCATGGTTGGACGCAGTGCCATAGCCAGGCCGGTGAGCCACGGCTCTATCCCAGGGCCCTACCTACTCACGCTTGCCTAAAATCCCTCAGTTCATATTTTGTGAAATAATGGAGAGCCCATGTCAACAGTTGTTTAAAAAAACAAATAGAGGAAAGAAAAGGTGTTCTGGTGCTGCCTGTGGTATGCAGTGATCATTTCTTCATCGAGTATGAGTGGACAGTGATCCCGTATCCTGGAGATTTTTCTAAGCGGGTCATTGCTGCCTCAAGTACTTGGATGATGGGCCCAAAGCTCCAGCCTCAGCAGCTCTGACACTTCTGCCTTGTCCAGTTCCCCTGCCTCAGGCACCACGGAGCCTTCTGGTATTTGCATTTTGGGGAATACTAGAAGGGAACAATATGCTTGGCACAACCTACCGTAAGTGGGTGATCCCAGGAAGCTCTTCTTGGCTGGGCATGGGTGAGGTCAACACAGTGGAGTAGAATGCCAGCTAATAAATGTAGAAGGAGTGAAGGCATTGGAAAGTCACCTTTTGGCAATTGACATAGCTATATATATATATTTGAGATGGAGTTTCACTCTTGTCGCCCAGGCTGGAGTGCAGTGGTGTGATCTTGGCTCACTGCAACTTCCGCCTCCTGGGTTCAAGTTGTTCTCCTGCCTCAGCCTCCCGAGTAGCTGGGATTACAGGTGCCCACCACCACTCCCGGCTAATTTTTGTATTTTTAGTAGAGATGGGGTTTCACCATGCTGGCCAGGCTGGCCTCGAACTTCTAACTTCAGGTGATCCATCCGCCTCGGCCTCCCAAAGTGTTGAGATTACAGGCATGAGTCACCGCGCCCGGCTCAACATAGTAATAATTTATTTAGACAAGAATCATCAATGGAGGCTAAAACAAACAGGTAAACATTTGTTAGGAGATGGGATATTGTCAGAGTCTTAAAGTATTGCCCCACAAAATGTTGTTGTTACAAAGAGAAAAATAGTAGCTTGACTGTGATCAAAGTTAACGTCACAGTGATAGGACACACTGGCACCATGTGCCTGCCGACATGGCGCTGCGAGAACGCAGTATGGCTTCCGTGGCTTTCCTGACAAAGATGCACAGCCTGCGTCTAGTCAGGAGGAAACATCAGGCAAACCCAGATTGAAGGACTTTTACTAGATAATTGGCCCATGGCCGGGCGCGGTGGCTCACGCCTGTAATCCCAGCACTTTGGGAGGCCGAGGTGGGTGGATCACAAGGTCAAGAGATGAAGACGAGCCTGGCCAACATGGTGAAACCCTATCTCTACTAAAAATGCAAAAATTAGCTGGGTGTGCTGGGCACCTGTAATCCCAGCTACTTGGGAGGCTGAGGCAGGAGAATCACTTGAACCCAGGAGGTGGAGGTTGCAGTGAGCTGAGATCGTGCCATTGTACTCCAGCCTGGTGAAAGAGTGAGACTCCATCTCAAAATCAATAAATCAATAAAAAAAAAAATGGCCCATATTCCCCAAATTGTCCTAAGTCCTGGAAAACAAAGAAAGACTGAAGAATCATTTCAGATAGAACACGTGGGACAACTACATGCAATCCGGGGCCAGGAACTGTGTTTTTGTTTTTGGACAACTGACACATTTTGAATGGGACTGTGGATGAAATAGTATTGGGGTGTTACTGCTAGTGTCCTGACTTTGATGTTGTACTGTTGTTCTGAAAGAGAGTGTCCTTGTTTCTTAGGAAGTGCACGCTGAAATATTTATGAGTCAAAACCTTGTTTTCTCTTTGTTTTTTGCACTCAGCTGCAGTTCTGTCAGTTTGGTGCATTGTATTTTATGTCTTTAATTAAAATTAAAATAACTCAAATGTTATTTAATTAGAAGAAAAACTAATGAATTAAATGAAATTAAAATTTAATTAAAATTGGGAAATAGACTAATTAGTGCTGAAGTGCAGTTTGGTAAACAGAATCTTTGCAATGATGGAGTCTGCTGTGGGAAGTGACTAAGGGGGTTTCTTGGTGGTGAAATGTGTGGGGACTTCTGCTCCATGGGAAGGGGAGAGTCTGTATTTCCAATGAAAATTGGAGCCTGGATTCTCAGCACAGGGGCCAGTCCTGGACTTCCCCACCTTCCTGTGTCATTCTTATCAGACTCATAACAGGAGGGGCTCCTCTCAACCTTGGTAAACAGAGATGAAAGCAATGAAACTTCACCTGTCAGGGAGGAGGCAGCTAGAGAATGGGGACAGTAAGCCCTGTGTGTGAGGATTCAATGAGGCAAAATATGTAAAGTGTGTAGTCCAGTACCTGAGATATAGGGACTTAATTATCTCCTAGATGATGCTAGATCGTCCATCTTTTTTAGAAGATATAGTATCAACAGCACTAATATAACGATGATGATAGATCGTCCATCTTTTTTAGAAGATGTAGTATCAACAGCACCAATATAACGTGACATTTTGTTAGGATTCCTGGCTCAGGAGACAGGAAAGCTGAAGAGCCATTTGACCATTGGCTAGTCAGTTTGCAAACTGTCACAGGGTAAAAGATATTTGCTACTGAAAAGATTAAGGCCATATTTTTTCCTCCTGCTAGAAAAGGTCAGAGAGGTATTTCTGGACTCATAAAGTGGAGAAACATTTTTCTGTGCTGTGATGTGGGTTTCTTCTAGCACAAGGGATGATGTGGGGCCATTCTTTCCACACCCCTCCATGGTCCCAGGGAGAAGTCAGGCGCTGTGGCTGGGGGTGGACATCTTCCTCTCGCTGAGAAGCCGGCTGTTCTCTGCCTGGTCCTATTTGCCCTTTCTGGGAGAGGATCTCAGGAGTTTGCGCCTCTCTTGGTTGTTGGTGCTTCCGCCGTAGTTGGCTGGAGGAGGCTGAGGAAACCCTGTAGCCTGCGACCCTGTAGAGGATGGTAGGAGGCTGGAGAGCACCACCTGGAGAAGAATGAGTCTGCTGGGGGAGAGGAACTGAGACAGTGTAACTCCAGGGAAGAGTGGCGGATTCATTGTTCACAATGGGGAGAACTGCTGCCAGAATACAGAGACCTTCATGTTAGAGACACGAAAGAGGTAGCCAAGGTGCTAGAACTTGAAAACAAAATGTTTTCATGTGTACACAGGAAGGCGGGGAAGTCCAGGACTGGCCCCTGTGCTGAGAGTCCAGGCTCCAATTTTCACTGGAAATACAGACTCTCCCCTTCCAATGGAGCAGAAGTCCCCACACATTTCACCACCAAGAAACCCGCTTAGTCACTTCCCATAACGGACTCCATCATTGCAAAGGTTCTGTTTACCAAACTGCACTTCAGCACTAACTAATTTGTGTTTGCTTAGGCATTGTAGTCAAGGACCCACAGATAAGCGTCCACATCCATCATGAAATGTGTTTTCAGTGTCAGAATGGAACAAGGTCATGGTCACACAAGAGGTTGGCCATCAGAAACAATTTCAGGAGGTGTCAACCATCTTGGTATGGTATGGGTACCCCAAGGTGAGGCATCCTGCTCACAGAACTCTCTGGGCATTGCAGAAATAGTTGTGGGGTTGTGATCCTACTCTGAGGGTCTGTATTGCTGGTATCTGGCCACCTCTGGCCTGGTCCTCCTTGCTAATGACCATGCCTGGATTCCAAGGGACCCAGTGGGACACAAATGCAGGGAGGCAAGGCAGGGAACAAAGAAGGAACAAAGTGTGAGGCAGGGGACAGAGGACAGTAGTCCTTCAGGATGGCAGCCTGGGGCTGGCAGGCACGGATCTTGTTGATAGACCAACTGGGGACAGCTGAGGGCTGAACAAAGGTCTGGAGGGGAAGCAAGCAAGAGTCCATGCGGAAACACAGCAGCGGCTCCACTGCAGCAAGGAGGCTCCATGAACAGGGAAAGGGGATCTGGATGTGGGGCCAGTGACATGGACTTAGTTCCCATCTTGCCACTAGTGACCATGTGACCGTAGCAACACCTAATCTCTTTGGGCCTCTATTTCTTGATCTGTAAAGTGGGTGTAGTTACTTCTTGCCTTCTGTGGGAGTACTGCTAGTTCCTGCTCTATATCAGTTCTTTCCTTTCTTATTTACAACTGCATCCCATTTATTTGGGGGTAACCTTTTGCCCATAAAAGAATGCATTTCACAGCTTTCATTGTAGCTAAGTGTCGTCACATGACTAAATTTTGTCTAGTGAGCTATGAGAAGAAATGTTAAAGACTTCCAGGAAGGATGCTTAAACAGTCTGCCTCATTGCAGGAAGCAAAGTCAGGGTGTCTTTTCTCTTTGGTCCTTTCAGTTGCCTGGAATGCAGCCAAGTTGGCTGGAGCCCCAGCAGCCCCTGTCTTGCACCATGAGGTACCTTGAGGATGGAAATGAGATCTAGGATAGCAAAGGAGAAAAGCAGAAGTCGTCTGGGTCTTTGATAACTTCATGGAGCAGCCATGCCCTCCGTGGATGTGGCTTAGTTATGCTCTTCTCTGTGTTGAAACTGTTGCTGCTAGAGGTGTTCTGTGATATGCAGTTAAACCCAGTCCACATGGATGCACCTGCCCCCTAGGGTTGCTGTAAGGATCAAACGAGTTAAAGCATGGGAAGGAGTTTTATGGGCTGGGAATGTATTTTGAACGTTGCAACATGCCATAGAAATATAAGGAATTAGTCCTATCATTGTCATTGCCATGTGAATCAATGGAAGGGGCAAGGCTGCAGTGGACAGGCCCTGACAGAGTGCAGGGCCAAGGGCAGGAGCAGGTGTCAGGGGACAGTGTGGGGATGAGGAGCTGCAGGCAGCAGGATGGAACCTTTGTTAGTTTACCTAATTTTAGACTGAATCCATAAGGTGGCATGGGCTCAAATGCCACTCAAGAGGGAGAGAGTGGTTGGAAGGTGAGATTAGAAACAGGAGCCCATAATTCTGATAAAGAATCTCAAAATGGAGAATTTGAAAAGTTGCACTGTGACAGTTTGGGCAACCAGTGGTATCTGTATCATTATTTTCAGAAAACACCTGATAATTCTATCCAAAAAGGATTGCTTTCTACAGCTTCTCCCCCAGGGGTCTCTGAAAAAAAGCCTGTTGGTGAAGAAGAAAGACTAAGCATCATCGGTCTAACTGTTGTGAACAGAGTCCAGATGTGTTCCTGCCTCAAATAGGAAAGAATTTAAGCTTTTAGAGACAAAAAAAAACCAAAAACTTATAGCAGACACGAGAGAGATGTGAACTATGGAAAGGCCAGCAGGGACCATGGACATCCTTACCATAGAAATGGAAGATTTTCAGATCTCAAATTCCATTTCCCCTGTGTATTGAACTACATCAATCCGTGCGTAAGCCATCACTTCATATTGGCAATAGAAGCGAGAGGGAAATTTACATTGGGTGTTATATGTGCTGTCTTATGTAAGTCCCCCAAATTTTTCAGCCAAGTTCAAAATAAATTCTGTCCTATCCTAAAGGATATGATTTATACCTCTTAGCAGAAGGTGCTAAGGATGAGGAAGGAGACTCATGTTACACTGTTGCTGAAGCAAAAACTGTGTCTTCTCATGATAATTTGTTTGGTCCACAAAACAGGAGCTGGGCGCTATAAACAATGCCATGGCTGAGCCATAGCCAACACAGTTTTTCATGCTTCATTTTGAGAGGGGGCGAGTAAGGCCTGAAGAAAGTTTGTTGTACAGCGAATATATGAAACTGGCTGTGGTTATTCATTTCAACTTCCTGGACCCAAAACCTTTTACCAGAGCTGCTAACAGGTTGCATAAATCACTCTATGAACTCTGTTTCCTTTCTCCCCCCGACCATCCGAGGAGGGGCAGGCTGCTAATGTGGAAAACATAGATTAGCACAGTGAGAGTCAAGGCCTTCCTGTCTGGGCAGAGCCTGCAAAGCTGAGCGCTGGCCGTATCCTGGCTGCCCAGGAGCCCGGAAGGCAGGGCAGCATGGGCAGTGAAAAGCAGGCACCAGGCTGTCGAGCCCAACAGACGGGGTTTCGAGCCCTACCACTGACCAGCTGCGTGATCTTGGATTATTATACTTCTCGATTTCCTCATTTGTCAAGTGGAATTTTTTTTTTTTTTTTTTGAAACAGGGCCTCACTTGGTCACCCGGTCACCCAGGCTGGAGTGCAGTGGTGCGAACACAGCTCACTGCAGCCTCAGATTCCCGAGCTCAAGTGATCCTCCTGCCTCAGTCTTCCTAAGTGCTGGGATTACAGGCATCAGCCACTGCACCCAGCCAAATAGAAATAATATTAATCTCAGGGCTGGGCGTGGTGGCTCACACCTGTAATCCTAGCACTTTGGGAGGCCAAGGTGGGCGGATCACCTGAATTCAGGAGTTTGAGACCAGCCTGGCCAACATGGTGAAACCCCGTCTCTACTAAAAATATAAAAATTAGCCGGGTATGGTGGCGTGCCTCAGGAGGCTGAGGCAGGAGAATTGCTTGAACCCGGGAGGCGGAGGTTGCAGTGAGCCAAGATCGCGCCATTGCCCTCCAGCCAGGGTGACAGAGCAAGACTCCATCTCAAAAAAAAAAAAAAAAAATCTATATATCTATATATCTCATAGAGTGTTTAGATGATTCGGTGATACAAGGGCATAAAACCCTTTCTTCCAGAAGTTTCTCTATTGGTCTTTGTCAATGAAAGAGAATCCCAATAGTCTTCATGCTTCTTGGGGATGAGGGTCTTGTGGGAGGTGGTCATGGTTGGGGGTTCTGTCCATGAAGCCCCAGCCACTGCACAGAGATGATCTGGGGTCGTCTGCTATCTTCACCCTTGATGTGGAAGCATTTCTGGCTCATAAGAGGACTTTAAAAGGGACTTCAGAGATGTCCGAAGGCTTTTCTCAGAAATGTGTCGTGGCTCAAGCAAACTATCGAGCGAGGCGAATCTGTAATTGCTCTCCACCCTGAGCCTTTTTTGCTGAGTTGTCTTAAACAAATTACCGAAAGTCTCTGAGCATCAGGTTCCTCATCTGAAACTGGAAGATACTAACCACCACCTCGAGGAGACATGATGGAGGTTCATGGGCTGAATCAGCATGCAAAGCCTTCCCAGGGCCTGGCACACAGACATCCCTTCCCTGCTCCTAGAGGGTGAACATTTGTCTGGTCAGGCTGGAGGAGCCCCTAGAATCTGTGGCCAAGGCGCAGGACCCTTGGCAAGCTCCCCGTCTTCCTTTGTAGCCCCTATTCCTATAGTGAGCCAGCTGCCCTGTGGCTGGGCCTTGTCCTGGGAGGGAAATGGAGAAGAGCGCTTTGACAGAGAAACATCCAGCCCAGAAGCGACCCAAGTTTCTGTTGGATGTGAGATCCACCACCGCCAATTCCAACCGCACATCCCCTTGGGGACACGCCCTGGGTCTGTGCGTCGCGGGGCGGACCCTCTACCACATGCTCAGACCCTCCAGTGCGAGAAGCCAGCCTGGTCTGGCTGGTGGAGCACAGGGGGACCGTGCCTGTCCCGTGGGCCTCAAAACAACTCCTCTGGGGTCAGGATCCTCTCACTGTTAGGGGAAGTCTCCACCCCTTTCAGTTGCCCTTTGGCTCCCGCAGGCCAGAGGTGCTCCTGAACAGCAATTTAAAAACACCAGAGTATGATAAGGCAGGTGGCATATTGCTGCAATATTTCAAAGTGGACAATGGGAAAATTAGCCCCTTTTCCAGGCAGCTGCTTCCAGGTCCTCAGCCTCAGGACGCTGGAGTCACATAGCTTAATGCTGTCATCATTTCCCCTTCTCCCTAAACCCTCTCCCAGTTAGTGGAATTTGGGCTGATGCTCTGCAGTGAAAGCCCTCTAATGTGTTGTAAATATTTATCTCTGCAAATCTCTGAAGCCATTTCAAAACAGAAAGACAGAGGAGGCGCTTGCATGGTTCACCTGCCCCTCCCTGAAGGCCTGTTGTGTTTCCCAGGACAGTAGGCACTGTGCTTACCTGAGCATGTCTTTTCTTTGCATCGTTTCTTGATCTATTTTGTTGCGTGTTGCTTTTTGTGTGTTAAGATGTGTCTGCTAAGAATTGTTTCTGGGGATAGGAGAAGGGAAAGGAGAGGACAGAAGGCTCACTATTTTTTTCTTCTGGATTTTTTTTTCCTTTTCTTGTTTATTTTTGGGTATCATTAATTACTCACTCTGGGTTGTAATTCCACCCATGGTCAGATGACATGCTTGTGGCTGGTTTAATTGGATGCTGATGATGAGCCGAGTTGGCCCAAGCATGTCCTGGGAGGGAAATGGAGAAGAGCGCTTTGACAGAGAAACGTCCAGCTCAGAAGCGACCCAAGTTTCTGCTGGATGTGAGATCCACCACCGCCAATTCCAACCGCACATCCCCTTGGGAATGTTGATTTGAAAATCTCCCAGCTGGTACTGGGGCCGTGCATGTGGCCCTCTGTGGTGTAATTGTACGGAAGCATCGGCCGCCAGCCAGGCCTCAAACCCAGGCAGAAGACATAGGTGTTCTCAGCCCTGAAAATAGTCCCCTGGACAGCCAGGAGCTCCTGAGGAGTGCTGCCAGGGCCGTGACGGCAATGATGGTGACAGGGTCTTGGAGGTGTTGAAAGCTACACCTTTAGCTTGTACTCACTTGTCTTCATGCTGATATTTCCATGGGATGATATGCAGATACTCCACGAGCTAGTTGTGTTGGGTGCCTGGTTAGTCCTGAGCACACCCTTTGGTCCATTACACAATGCATTCTGCTCTCTAGGAGTTTATGGCCTGTGTTGGGAGTGGGTTGGAGGTGACGGGGCTAATAAACACAGGAGCATTAACTAGGGAGTCAGTAGACCTGGGTTCTGAGATCAGCTTTGCCACCTAGCTTGCGTGTAATGCCTGACAAGTCTCTCTTCTTGGCCCTCAGCTTCCTCATCTGTAAAATGGGTAGAGTGGCATCAGTTATAACCAGTGTTTTCAGATCTGCCATGCCATTCTTTTTGTTGCGTTTTCTCAAGATTTGGACATGGTGGACATTCAGGCAGCCTTGGGTGCTGGCCATTCTTGTGAGTCTTGTAGCTGTCTAGTCTTCCTTTTTCTCATTCTTCCTCATGATTCTTAGGTTTCATGTCTTCCTGGCTTTGGGGGCAGTTATCTCGTTCATTTATTCCTTACATTTCAGTGATCCTACTGCTATCATTTCAGCTATCCTCCAACCAGCATCTTCTCTGCGATGTTACTTCCATGGATCAGTCTCATTTTGTCCTCACAAAGCCTTCAGCGTTCTGTGTAACCCTCTTGCCCCCACATATTTCCCACAGAGAGACAGCTACCTCAAGGACCAGAGGCCAGAGGAACAGGCCCCTTTAGAAACCTCATCCTAATGAATTCCAGCATTCCTAGTAAGCATCTTTCTCTTCAGCAGTGACATTTACAACTTGGCGTCTTATTTCATAATTACATGAAGGGGCTAACCTCCTGGACAGGTGCCCGCAGGACAGTGCAGGCTGCACAGGGGCCTGTTGGCCTCCGGGAATAGAAAGGAGTGGCCTCCCATCTCAGTTGTTTTATATCTGTGTGAATGGGTCACTTTGTGCTGGAGTTGCCGCCTGTCTCCTTCCTAGTCGGTGGACCTCACCTGGTGAAGTGTTACCAACTTTAAGCAAACCCTTCCTGGAAGGTGCTTTAGGAAGGAGGAGTTGTAAATAACATCGAAGCAGCTCAGATTCTGGTGTCTTAGGCCTACATAGGACCTTTCTGGGTTTACTCCCAGTTGGTCCCTAAAGCGCAGGGGAAGTGCTCAGGTTTACTGAAGGGTATATTAAGACAAGATGAAGATGCTCATCCAGAAGCGTCTGATGGTCCTGAGCCCCGCCCTCCCAGCATATTCCCATTCTCAAGGAATGCCCTCTCCAGAAGGGTGGTGAGACAGGTACGCGGGTGGCCATGACCACAGGCAGGCAGACAGCCATGTGGGGAGCACAGAGCAGGAAGCCATGACTCCTGCAGGGCCTGTCTGGGGTGTTTAGGCTGCTGCTTGCAGAATAAGTAGAGTTTAGATGGCCTTGAAAGAGAGAGCACCTGTAGCAGGTGGTGGGCTTTCGATGTGATGATTGACAGGCTGACTAAATGCACGGCCCTTCCTCCCATCAGGAGTTTCTTTAGTTAGAGCAAAATTATCCCAAGTTCCTTAAATTGCCTTTGCACAAATTCTACATTTGGCCAGTGTGGTGCTGTGCTCCAGAATTCTGTTCCTCAAGGTCTCTAGGATCCCTGTAACACTGTCCATAAGCTATTTCCCACACAAGGCACAGGAGAACCTCCCCATTTTAGCCAATGGAACAGCTGAGGTGCAGAGAAGTAAAATAACTTTCCCTGGGTCACAGGGTCAATCAGCAGCAGAACTGGAAGTTGCACTCGTGTGTTCTGATTCCCAGGCCGGGTACCAGGAACTTGCTCTCGCTGCTTCATCATTGAACCCCATGCGCCCCCTCTTTGGACCTCCCACAGCTGCTCTTCCATTTCAGGCTTCAGCACTGGCCCCTCCCTCTGTTTTTTGCCACCCGCATGTCTCTCTTGAGGGCAGGGTCCTGGTCAGCTTGGTGCCTGGCACAACACCTAGGATCCTGGTCAGGCTGGGCTGGGTGAAGGATAGGGGAATGACCTTCGCCAGTGCCTCCCTCCTGTGCTTCTAGCCCGGAGTCACCTGGAGGTGATGGAAGCAGCTCTTAGGTGCCAGGTGATTGTGACATTGAAGAATCTGGGCTCATCCTGTCTTTTAGGCAGTGGATTAAAAACACTGTGGTATCTGAGATCATTCAGCCGTTTCGCTCTGGTCAGCATCTTCACTTGACACACATCTGGGTTTGCAGAACGCACTGATAAAGGCCTGAGACCATAATGTTTTTTACTTCTCTCTTGTGTGGGTTATTTATCACCTGTGCTCCAAAGAGGAAACACCTGGATGCTTTGAGGGTTTTTTTTTTTTTTTTTTTTTTTTGAGATGGCGCCTTGCTCTGTTGCCCAGGCTGGAGTGCAGTGGCGCGATCTCAGCTCACTGCAACCTCTGCCTCCTGGGTTCAAGCAATTCTCCTGCCTCAGCCTACTGACTAGCTGGAATTACAGGCACCTGCCACCACGCCCAGCTAATTTTTGTATTTTTAGTAGAGACAGGGTTTCACAATGTTGGTCAGGCTGGTCTCAAACTCCTGACCTCGTGATCTACCCGCCTCGGCCTCCCAAAATGCTGGGATTACAGATGTGAGCCACTGTGCCCGGCCCGCTTTGAGTTTTATGTAGGGAAGCAGGGTGTCCACATAAGGTATCATCCAAATGAGATACTTTTGAGAGTGAAATGGTGCACGGTTAACAGTTACATCAGGACAGCAGGCCGACACTGGAGCGTGTGGTCGCCTAGTTTTAAGCAAAATGGATGTCTGCAGTTGGAAGAAAAGACACGGGTAGTCGTTTGTGAAGACTAATAGTGTGGAGGGGTTGCTGGTAGATGAAAGGCCTTTTGTTCCAGCGGTAACTGTGCATCATTCACTGACAACAGTAAGAGTCCAGTGCCCTTTTCTCTGCCCTCCACTTCATTTTCTGTCCGTGGCCGAGCCTCCCAGGAGGTGTACCTGTGTCTCATTGTCCTTTTCTCTTTCCCGCAGAGATCCTGCAGATCATTCAGCTGGACCTAGACCTGAAGTTTAAGACCAACATCCGGGAGTTGTTTGAGGAATTTGACAGTTTCCTGCCAGGCGCCATCATCGGCATAGCCCGGGAGATGCAGCCAGTTTACAGGTGCGTCATGACTGCAGGGGGGCCGCCTCCACGACCCCTCCCCACCCTTCACCCTCTCTCTTCTGCCAGCCGTGACAGATTGGGATTTAGTGGCGTCCGATCCTTCTGCACTTAGTATCTTGGGAACACATTGGTACTTATTGCTTACAGTTGATTGTATGGGCAGGTGGGTCTATCCCAAGCCGTAGGTGCTACCTCATTATTTTGTTGGAGTTTGTGGCCTTTTTCTTCTGAAAAGCCCAGTTGTTCTGGTTGTTGGATCTGGTTAAGCTCAGAATTTTAAAATCTTGGGCTTTGCCTTACGGAGGAAGATTTAACTTCCCTTCTACTGACCAGCTGGGCTTTCTTGGCCTGTGAGTCACCAGTGACCCCCATTCTCTATTAGCAGAGTGGGTGGATTGGTGGTCTTGTAGGGAGGGAAGACGTCAGAACACAGACTGGCATCAGTAGTCAGCACGAAGAAGCGCATTCCGCATGATGCTGCATTTGATTGTCAAGCCTGTGTCATGGAGAAACTCCAGGACTGAGAACCATTCTGGAATATTCACTGTAGCGTTATTTGTAGTAGCCAAAACTGAAAACGACTCAAATTTGCTACTTAGCAGAATGGATAAATAAAACGCATTCATTCAGTTGAGTGCTATACAGCAACAGCAAAAAAGGGAACGGCTCCATGCGACGAGAGCGAAACCAAACTGGAACCTTTAGGGATGCACATGTGCAGGTGCGGAGAATGGGAAAGGAGAAGGGGGGTGATGCTTCCCAAAGCCGGCGTGGCAGGCGGTGGGGGGCGTGGGGGTGGGTTGGCTCTGGAGAGCTGCAAGGTCTCAGTTCCCCACTTAGCTTAGCTTCATGTTTGCATGCACTTTTTTGTGTGTTCTTGTTCTACATCTTGTAATTAAAAAAAAAAAAAAGGAAAGGAACAGCTGAAGCGGGTTTTGATTACAATAAACCAGGCCTGTGGCCCTGGGCCTGGAGAGTTTCATGTTGCTGGCTGTTTCTCCAGCGGGTAGAGCGATAGCACACCCAGAGCAGAGCTGCCGAGTTTGTTCGGAAAGGGCTGGGATTTTGCTGTCCCGCAGGCATGCCCCGCTCTTTGTTCTCAGTGCACACCGTGATGCTGGCTCCCTGCCGACCTTCCTGGAGGGAGGCCCAGTCGTTGGAGAGCTGCAGAGTACAGGCAACTAGTGAGTCAAGAGCCTGTGTTTCCCCTCAGAAAGAGGGGGTGAAGAGGCAGCTTCAGCTCGGTTGTGGCTATTTGCATGACCCAGATCACATAACAGGAAATTCCTGCAAGGCCCCTAAATGAGCTGATAACTCCTTGGGCCGTGTGGACTTTTCTCCCTTATATAATCCTCTCACGTGTGGCCCCAGAGTCACTGGGTAGGCCTCTTCCTCTGAGGTCAGGGGTTGGCGACTTGAGAGGGTTTGGGCAGACACCTGCCATCTTAACTGTAGAAGACTCCCCACCTTCTTCCCTCCCCTTCATACCAGGAAGATCTGCTGGGGTCCTTGGTCCAACAGAGGGAGGTGATAGTGGTCGCAGCAGTGAATCCATATGGGTCCGTAGCACCCTCACTTCCTGCCTCTTCAGAAGAAAGAATTTGAGGGGCCTCAGGCAGAGTGAGAGACCAAGGCAAGTTTTAGAGCAGGAGAGAAAGTTTATTAAAAAGCTTTAGACCGGAATGAAAGGAAATAAAGTACACTTGGGAGAGGGCCAGTGGGTGACTTGGAGATCAAACGTGCTGTGTGACTTTTGACTTGGGGTTTTGTACATTGGCGTGGTTCTGGGGTTTGCGTTACTCCTCCCCCGGTTCTTCCCTGAGGGTGGCCTGCAAGCCCTTGGGAGGGAGCGCAGTGTGTTTACCGAGGTTGTGCACGCGCTCCCTGGAGAACTCAAATGAAGTAACAGTGGAAGTTTCTGTTGCGAGAGAGACCCTCATTAAAGAGCATTTCCCCTCCCTCCCTCTCTCCCTCCCTTAATCTTCATTCCTCTTTGTGTTTTCTTTACCAGATGGTTTGTTTCTGTGATTTATTTCCTGGTTTCTTCCCTTACCAGTCCAGCCTTCCTAGAGGAGGGTTTTGCCTCCTAGTGCACATGCCTCCTAGTGCCACCGTTTTGCCTCCTAGTGCACATGCTTGAGCCCACGTGCCCAACTCCTGAAATCTTACCAGGAAGCTGCTGGTCGTCAGTTCCAGGTTCTTTCTATCTACTGGGACCCTCCCTTTCCCTGGCGCTGGCTGCATCCAATTATCATTTTAGAGAGACGGTTGACAACTGCCTGACCATCAGCTGATGGTCGCCTGACATTCCTGGTGGTGGTGGAGCCCTCTCCTGCCCTGCTCATGTCTGACTAGCTACCTACTGTAACAATACAGGGAGCCTCAGAGTCCCAAGCCCTAGATACTAGTCCCAGCTCTGCCACCTTGGGGCCTTTGTTCCCCCACCTGAGAAGGAGAAGAGCTGAGCTCTAAGTCCCCGCTCCCCGGCTCTGGCATTGGGGGTTACAGCCCTTCGGACCCTCATTGTCCTCCCTCCGTCTGGAAGTTGCCTGTCTGCTGGTGAGCTCTTCAGGGATCGGGGAGAACTGACGTCATGGGGTGTTTAAACTGGGCTAAGTATTAAATGCAGTTACAGCGCCAATGCCTTCAAGGCCTGCTTTGGAATCTTCTCATGTGATATAAATGGAAACTTGGAAACCCATCGTGCTTAGACAGGATTGGCCAGAATTTGTATTTTCTGTAGATCTAGGATTTTATAAACAGTGCAACTTAAAATCAGTTTAATTATCTGGACTTCCTGAAAGAAAGCTCTGAAAGATTTTAGATTCGAAATGAAACTGAGTTTTTCTAACCCTGAGCATCTTTAATTTTCATTATGTACTATGATAACCATGAGACCTCCGCTGCAGCAGAGTCTGAAGAATGGCGTTTGCAGGGCCTGGGCACTCAAAAATCAACAGAGACTTATACTCCTTTTCATGCTCCCTCCCTCCACCCCTCAGCTGAAATGTTTCCAGAGACCTTTAATAATGGAGTCTGCAGATGACAGCCCTGCACTGCCTGCCGCGTGCCCCGCTGGCTCTGGGGAATTGCCTTGTAACGTTTGCAGTCTCATGCTGGGGCTGGGAATGGCTTGGTACTGGCTGGCCGACAAGGAATTGAGCATGTTTTTTGCCTTCTTTCACAAGAAGACTGGGGACCTCTGGGGACCTGGGAGATCCGGCATTAATTATCTGCTGCTTTGGAGTGTTCACCTGGCTGGCAGTGGGGCTAGGGTGGGGAGGCTGAGAGAAGGAAGAGGATGGGAATGGAAGGGGAGAGAGGAAGCAGGGACAGCGCAGCCCGCCTTTCTCTTGAGCAGGCGGTCTCGGCCCTTGGGCTTGGCCATTGCTGCGGCCGTCAGACTGCTTCCCACAGAGGTCCCCTCTTGCCCCTGCCTGGGACTTCCATGGAACTGGCAGTGGGCTCTGACCACCAAGGGGTCTCCCCAGAGAGGGGAGTGAGGTGGACAAGTGTTTTATTTTAAGAAGAACATGCTAGCATCTATATGAAAGGAAAATTTAAACACAAAACAGCACAAAACCAAATCTTGACTAGGTAAGCAGACACATTTTAATCTGGAAACTTGCTGAGCAGGAATAGATTTGGATCTCCCCAGCTGTGTCATTTTTATAGTCACTTGTCCCATAGTTACTTTACCTCAAAAGGGCACATTTTAAGTCATTTTTATGGCAGTCTCCTCTGTATTGTGTGCCATGAGTGTTGTTAGAAGCTTGGAGGAGGTGCGGGAGGAGAAGTTATTCCCCACTGTCCATTTGACAAATAGTTTTTTTCACATTGTTTCACAGTTCCCCCTCCCCAGATTTTTATATTTTCTGTATAAATCTTACAGGATTTTATAATCCTAGGTCCATGGAACTGACAGTGTGTTCTGGAAAGTGACACAGGGATCGTGGGATATTAGTGTAGGGAGAGAGGAGCCTCTCTCTCTCGGGTCCCTGTTGAGATTCTGTTGCGTCCAGCATCCGTGACCTTCCCCATCTGGAAATCATAGCGCTGTAGTCATCTTGGATGGAGCGTCACCCTTCCTTTCTCTGACCTTTTCTCTGTCTCTTCATCAGGAGCTAAACCCCTGGACAGGTCCTCAGTGGTGATGTGTTTAGTTGGGATAAGGGGCCAAGAGGAGAATCTAAAAGATAGACAACTGTATTTTGTAAAGATGTGCCATTTTGAATTTGTTTCCTCATGAAAGTATTAGAAAAGTAAACGGCTGTGCCCTCTTTATGTGCAGCCTATAACAATTCTAAAGGTGTGGCAGCAGGCGAAGAAGCTTGATGTGGAGGAAATAGCATTCGGTCGTACTCAGAAGTGAATTCCCCATGTGACACTTTGTGAGTCACTGGATTCTCTGACCCTCTGTTGTTTGGTCTGTAAGTGGGATACATATCTCTAACACAGAGAATTACTGGAGAACTCAAATGAAGTAATAGTGGAAGTTTCTGTTGTGAGAGAGACCCTCATTAAAGAGCATTTCCCCTCCGTCACTCCCTCCCTCCCTCCCTCCCTTAATCTTCACTCCTCTTTTGTGTTTTCTTTACCAGTCGCTTTGTTCCTCTGGGCTTCTCCTAATCAATCCCTCCCCCAGGCATATAGGGTTGCCATTTAAAATACAGGGCACCCAATTAAATGGAACTTCACATAAATAACAAATAAGTGTTTTGTATGTTAAATATGTCCCAAATATTGCACAGGACATACTTATACTAAATAATTGTTATTGTTTATTGTTTATAAATAATCGTTTATTTATACTAAATAATTGTTTATTGTTTATCTAAACAATTATTTATACTAAATAATTGTTTATTGTTTATTGTATATTGAAATTTAAATTTTTTTAATTTTTTTATTTTTTAAAGACAGAGTCTCTCTCTGTTGCCCAGGCTGGAGTGCAGTGGCACAACCTTGACTCACTGCAGCCACCGCCTCCCAGGTTCAAGAAGTTCTCCTGCCTCAGCCTCCCGAGTAGCTGGGACTGCAGGCAGAGCCACCACTCCTGACTAATTTTTGTGTTATTAGTAGCCATGTTGGCCAGGCTGGTCTCGAACTGCTGACCTCAAGTGATCCGCCCGCCTCAGCCTCCCAAAGTACTGGGATGACAGGTATGAGCCACCACACCTGACCCTGAAATTTAAATTTTAACAGATATCCCGCTTTTTTCCTAAATCTGGCTGCCCACCTCTACCCACGATTGTAAAACTTCCCTTTTTAGCAGCAGCAGGTGATCTGGCTCTCCTACAAGATCCTGGAGTGAACAGGAACAAAGGGGACGGAAGGGGAGCTTGCAGGGAAACCAGGGTAAGAGAGGGAGGGGGTGGGAGGCAGCCCTCAAGGTCTCTGTGAGGCTCCAGGCTTGAGGTCACCACTCTGTAGAGTTAGGAAGCCCAACTGTGGACTGGGTCATTTGGGGAGGCCACTGGGACCAGGAGGCCTGGTCATGGCTTGGCTTCAGGCTTCAGGGCTCCTGCTGACCCTGGAGTGATGGAGAGAGAGAGAGGGAGAGGGAGAGGGAGAGAGTGTGTGTGTGTGTGAGAGTGTGTGAGAGAGTGTGCGTATGTGTGAGTGTGTGTGTATGTGAGTGTGTGAGAGTGTGCATATGTGTGTGAGTGTGTGCGTATGTGGGCTGTGGCCCTTTGTTATGGTCACTTTGTGGAGCTGGCCGCCTGAGGATCCTCTGAATGGGAGCTTGTTGGTGGCGGCATAGGCTTCCGGTTTCATTCTCCCCAGGCTCTGCGGGCAGCCGTGTGCTGTGTGAGCCCCGGCCCACCCTGAGGAGGAAGCGGCAGGCTATTCCTGTCAGCTGCTGATAACATGCCACCAGGCGGGAATTCGCTTTTGTGTTAAGTATTTTAATCATGTCCGCTCGTTCACCTTTTTAAGTCACATGGTTTTATTTGCTGATGGTGCTGTGCCAGCCTCGGGTTCTTCCAGACGCTCGGAAGGAAAGCTTCTCTGCAGGCTGCGTCATCCCACTCCAAGGACTGGTGCTGGGCTCCCAGGGGAGTGTTGGGGAGGGAGTGAGCGCCAGCACAGAGGGAAGAAGGGAGGGTGTGGACTGACTACCTCTACCACTCAGTTGCTGTGTGACCTTGGGCAAGTCTCTTGACGTCTCTGAGCCTTAGTCTCTTTAGCTCATGAGAAATGGAGATTATAACACTATATGTGGCAGAGTTGAGGGAGATTGAATCAGATAATGTATTTATGGTGCCTAGCACGAGCAGCACTCCTGGGTGGTGGTGGCAGCGTTATCCACAGTCCCAGCTTGGCCACTGATAAGTTCTGTGAACCTAGGGAAGTCACTTAACCTCAGCCTCAGTTTCCTTATATGTACGGTTGGGGCTGCTGACAACTTAGCAAAATTATTGCTCATCTTTTGGCTTCTCAGCATCTTAACCCCTTTCCTAGAATTTGGGAATTCTCTGCCATAGAAGCCTGCCTCCTATTATGGAAGACAAAAACGCTGGATATGTTATCTCCCGGCTTCCTCGCAGCTAGCTAGGGTGTTGGTACTGTGTTTCCCTCCTTCCCGCTTCTGCGGAAATTACCATCATACATTTATTAATAGTGTCTTATCTATACAGACCAGTTTTTATGGCTTTACCCTAAACATTGTAAGGTATTTGCAAAACAGAAACAGACAGTATTACAAAGAGAAAATAACTAGTCCGCAATAGTGAAGAACATTTTAATATCCCAGAGAATATTGGAAACCAGGGGATCAAAGATGGGGGGAGGGACGAATGTAGATTGCAGTATAGTTGCAGCAGAGGAGGAAGGGACGAGGACAGGGGGAGAGACCGAGGACTGTGCCCGAGGCAGCCCCCACTCCCTGTTTCACTGAGCCTGGCTTCCACTTTCCCCCGTGCGTGGGGTGTTTGGTCCCTGCTACGCTGCACAGAGGGTGAACATCTGGCCCTTTGCTTGCTTCCAGGTTCCAGCCATGGCTCTAGCCCTGATCTCCAATATGGTTTCTGTTCTGTTCCTGGCCCATGGAGATGTTTATCTCATTTTCAAGCCGACTATGCCCTTTCCTCCTGTTGCCCCCCCATCGGATGAAAACAATTGTTATCTAAAACTCATCATTAAAAAGTGATACATTTTTGTTTTGAATAGCATATGGAGGTTATTATTTTTCCAGAAATTTTCTATATTTTTATCAGGGGGTGTGTGTGTGTATATGTAAATAAACTCTCTATACCTTTGTACATCTTTTTTTGTTCACTTAACAGTGTATCTTGACCATCCTTATACCTAAGTCAGCCTTCTTTGATAAATGTTGCTGGTCTCTTGGTATGATTTTTCTTTTTACTATGAAAACCTTTCAACATATACAAAAGTAGAAAGCATCATGTAATATTTCTGGATGCCCCAATATTATAATATCCATGCAGCCTCAATAACTATCAGCCCTTAGCCAATCTTTGTTTTATGTCTCCTCCCACCCACTTTTCCTCTTCCCCTGATTATTTTGAAACGAATCTCAGTCGTCACAGCATTTCGTCTGTAAATGTCATTTTCAGTCTATTAGTTTCTTAAAAACACATCTGCTGTGGCCGAGTTTAGAGCTGAGGAGAGTTATATGAGCTCATAGTGTCACTCTGTCTTCAAGTTCCTCAGTCTGAAATCAGTTGGTACAAGGGAAGAAAATAGAGAGAGGCAGCACTAACCTCTAGCCAAGCACACTTTCCATCTCTCTGCAGATTGCCTCATGTCAGGATGTTAGCGTGACCGTCACGTCTGGAAGGCTTTATGGCTGATATAAATTCAGGTCCGTTGTTCACTAGGCATGAAGCCCTCCGTTGTAAGGGAACCAGCCATCACCCTCATTACGAGATGCATAAATGTAGGACTTGAAGATAAAAGCTATTGGGTTCTTTTCGTCTCTCTGACACCTGAAGATGAATTTCTTGAACCTTGTTCTCGTGTTTAAAAAAAAAAAATTAACCAAGATTGAGCCTGTCAGTTTCTATCAGAGTTAAATCTGAGTAAAGGAGAAAAAAGCTTGCCACCTTTTAAAATAGTGATTCCTTCACTCCCTGGGAGTTAGAAAACTGGGCTAAGTGTTTTTGTGTAGCCCGTGTGACCTGGAGGCCGTGCTATAACCCCTGCAGGAATTACTCATAAAAAGGGAGGGATGTACCTGCCCTGTGGTAGAGATCAGAAGTCTACTCTGAGGTTGTTATTTTTAAATAACATCAGTGGAAAAGGTATTTTAAAAGGAAAACTCTGTACAGAGAACCCAAGCGGGATTGTGTTGCTGTCATTGTGACCGTCTCTTACCTGATGGCTCTGCCTCCCGGGCAGGCTAGGAGCTCCGGGATGACGTCCCAAGACTCGGGCGCATAGCGGGGGCTGCTGAAGATCGGAGTGTGAGGCTGAGAGATGAGGTCCAGGTGGAGCACGTGAAAAGCTTCCTGTGTCTGAAAACACGACTCCTTCCAGTTCTTTTGTCTGTCTGCACATTATGAGTATTTTGGTACTACTGAATCCGTTTTTAAAAGTTCACCACGTCGTGCCTGACACAGGTGTCTCCTGAAAGAATGAGTGAGGAAGTGAATGCGTGGAAGGGGTGGGACTGGGAGGCAGCCCTTCTGTTCTGTTTATGCCGTGCAGACCAATGCCAGGCACTTCGATGTTTGTTGAGTGAATGCAGGAACAGATGTGTAGTCAGAGGGCGTTTCCTCCGCGGTGCTGGCCAGCTGCTAAGTCAGGCTCTGTAGTCCCATTACTGGTCTTAGAGAAGTTACTTTCACATTCAGTTTTTGTTTGTAAAGACAGTCCATGGGAAAGTTTGTTATTCTCAGTTTGTTTGTTTGAGACATAGTTTCTTTCTTGTCGCCCAGGCTGGAGTGCAGTGGTGTGATCTTGGCTCACTGCAACCTCCGCCTCCCGGGTTCAAGCGATTCTCCTGCCTCAGCCTCCCAAGTAGCTGAGATTACAGGCGCTGACCACCATGCCTGGCTAATTTTTGTATTTTTAGTAGAGACAGGGTTTCATCATGTTGGCCAGGCTGGTCTCGAACTCCTGACCTCAGGTGATCCACCTGCCTGGGCTTCCCAAAGTGCTGGGATTACAGGTGTGAGTCACCATGCCCAGCCTATTCTCAGTTTTTTATTTGGCTCATTGTGTGTGTGAGCCATAGGATTGGTCCCATGAGGAATTACGAAGTAGAAGACATGCCTCTTGCTTTCAAGGAAGATATAACGTGAGGGAGATAGGGTAGATAAAACTTAATGAAAACGCAAATGCCTGCGGTGTCAACACTGAGTCAGTACTGCTGTTTAGAGATATCCCATGGACAAGATACATAGACTTTTTGCTGTAGGAACTGTAAATTTTACTGAGTGGCTCACCTCTCCCTCAGCTTAATATTCTGCCTTCAGCTGGGCATGGTAGCCTGCACCTGTAGTTCCAGCTACTTGGAAGGCTGAGGCAGGGGGGTCACTTAAGCCCAGGAATTCTGTGGGTGTCTGCACTAAGTTTGGCATCAACTTGGTGACCTCCTGGGAACGGGGGACCACCAAGTTGCCTAGGAAGGGATGAAGCAGCCCAGGCTGGAAATGAAGCAGGTTAAAACTCCTGTGCTGATTAGTAATGGGATTACGCCTGTGACTAGCCATGCACTCCAGCCTGGGCAACATAGCGAGACCCTGTCTCTAAAAAAAGAAACCAAACAAACAAAAATGGAGTTCTGCCTTCAAAATGCTAAGAAGTGGGTATCACATTCCCTTCTTTCCTCTGAAAAGTCTCTCGGAGTGGTGTTTGGCTTTGCAATGCAGGCGTAGCCTCTAAGAGTGCTCTTGGGATAGACCAAACTCTGTGCCCGAATAGAAAGCTCACTGGGCAGGCATTTGCCGAGGGTTTGGCTATGCAGTAGAGAGAAACCAGACCCTGTCCTCCAGGAGCTTGCAGTGGGACGTGGGTCTGGACAGGGCTACAGTGGAGGCACAGCGGCGGATGATGGGCCCGCAGGACTGTGTGCTTTGTTGCATTGCTGCAATCTGTTTCCTATGCCAAATAAACATCATCGCATTGAAAGAACCTTATTTGTAATCCAGGCAGCAGAAAGGCTTATCTGTAAGCATCTTCCTGGGGAAAAAAAGCAAAATAGCACAGTTGAATCCCAGTGGCATGTGTACAAGAGGGACCTTCTGTAACAAACCACGTGTGGAAAGGACTGAGCTGAGCGTGACCAGCCCCACATGAAGGGAATTTCTATATGGCTCCATGGCCATCTCAGGTGCAGACTTCAGCCACAGGACTGCATTTCTTCTGTGGGTTCCTAAGTGAAACGGATCTGAAGTTCCCATCCCTCTGCTTCCAGGGTAGCAGCAGAATTGGCTCTTATAGAAATATCAAACTTTTAATCTGAGCCTGGGGTTGAATTGAACATCTGTCTCCTCCTCCTGCCTTAGGTGACTTCTTTAAATGAGCTGCTTACTGTTGATCATAGAGAACCCCTGTGATCTTCTATTTCATGGTAGCAGAATTGACTCCAGCATCAAGGAGCTGCCCAAAGGAGTGTTTTGATCCAGGAACCCAGCCGTCTGCCTTTTGGGGACTGCTCTATCACTGTTTGTAAAAGAGGAAGCTGAGCCAGAATTGGCGTAGTATGTCGTGATTTGCCTGGATGTCTGCGGTGTCCTTGCGTCTGTAGACGAGCGCTCATTATGAGGCTGGTGGATTCTATGGACTTTCAGAAATGTGAAGTCACAGAGATGCTCGCAGGGCCCCATCAGTGCCGGTCACCGTGGAGTGAGGTGCCCGTTCATGTGACTTCACAGAGATGCTCGCAGGGCCCCATCAATGCCGGTCACCGTGGAGTGAGGTGCCCGTTCATGTGGCTTCACAGAGATGCTCGCAGGGCCCCATCAGTGCCGGTCACCGTGGAGTGAGGTGCCCATTCATGTGGCTTCACAGAGATGCTCGCAGGGCCCCATCAGTGCCAGTCACCGTGGAGTGAGGTGCCCGTTCATGTGACTTCACAGAGATGCTCGCAGGGCCCCATCAGTGCCAGTCACCGTGGAGTGATGTGCCCGTTCATGTGGCTTCACAGAGATGCTCGCAGGGCCCCATCAATGCTGGTAACCGTGGAGTGAGGTGCCCATTCACGTGGCTTCCACTTGATCTTCCTTGGCTCTGTTAAAAAAACAAACACAAACAAGCCCGCTGCTTCTCTCAATAAAATCAAGCCCAGTCTCTGCATGGAAATCCTTTCCTTTGCTGCTAGGACCATCCTATGTTGACCGGCCCAAGGATCACGAACTTGGAACTCTAAAGAAAGCAGGATAATTCTAGCTCTTCACTTGGGTAGCAGTGAACAGGACTTTCATGTTCCTGATGATGTATAATTGCAGCTCATTGGTATTCAGCTTTCAGAGAGCCTGGAAGATTGCGTCTAAGCAAGGTAGAGACATAAGGGTGAATCATATTATTTACAAAGAATAACCAGAGCAGAGAAAAGGCACCCCTATTTCTTCTGCCGGTACCTTCCTGCCAAGATGTTGGCAGGGTTTAGGAGGGGTACGGAGTGTGACCTTGGTCTTGCGGGCCACTTTTCTACTCACATCTCACACCCTTTTAGCTGCTGCCCAAGGTTAAAGGCATCACACAGAGGATCAAGGAAACACACTTCTGCATAAAAGGAGTAGTAGAATCCTTGAGGCCCTTTTGGTGCAGGGGAAACTGAAACAGAAAGGAGGAACTGTTTGGCCGGGCACAGTGGCTCACACCTGTAATCCCAGCACTTTGGGAGGCTGAGGCGGGCGGATCACGGGGTCAGGAGTTCGAGACCAGCCTGCCCAATGTGGTGAAACCCCGTCCCTACTAAAGATACAAAAAATTTGCCAAGTGTGGTGGCACGTGCCTTTAATCCCAGCTACTCGGGAGGCTGAGGCAGGAGAATCACTTGAACCCGGGAGGCGGAGGTTGCAGTGAGCCGAGATTGCACCATTGCATTCCAGCCTGGGCGATAGGGCAAGACTGTGTCTCAAAAAAAAAGGAGGAACCGTTTGACCCCCTTTGCCAGCCAGAATCTGGGAGAGATTTGTGGATGAAAAAACCCACAAATCAACCCCAGGAATACCTGGATGGCATGTGATTAGCCAGCCATTTGCACCGATCAGATTAGAAGAGGCCCAGTCCCCGGTCCACATGCCATATCACACTCGAGATGGAGTGGAGTGGGCGGTTGGCCAGGCACGGTGGCTCATGCCTGTAATCCTAGCACTTTGGGAGGCCCAGGCAGGTGGATCACTTAAGGTCAGGAGTTTGAGACCAGCCTGGCCAACATAGTGAAACCCCGTCTCTAATAAAAATACAAAAATCAGCTGGGCGTGGTGGCGGGTGCCTGTAATCCCAGCTACTTGGGAGTCTGAGCAGGAGAATTGCTTGAACCTGGAAGCAGAGGTTGCAGTGAGCCAAGATCTCGCCCTTGCACTCCAGCCTGGATGACAGCAAGAGTCCATCTCAAAAAAAAAATAAAAATAAAAAATAAATATATATATATATATATCTATATCTATATATATCTATATATATATCTATATCTATATCTATATATATCTATATCTATATATATCTATCTATATATATATATATAATGAGAGAACATTTGGTTAGCTCTCAAAAGAAAAGGTGATCATCTAGTAAATGTAACATACTGCAACAGGTACAAGAAGAGCCCATATGTGATTCAGAAACTGAGGGTACAGCCTGCAGCAGTTTAATTTCAGGTAAATGCCTCCAGGAAGTAAGACACGTTTTTACAATTTAAAAATGGATTGTAGAAGAGAGGAAAGGAAAGCAGTTGATTGAAAACCCTTCTGTGCCCTGGCTCCTGGCTAGTGTTTCTGATGGTTCTGTGTTTTGTTTTGTGTGAATGTGGGCCCAGTGTTACCAGATGTTCTGATTTGTTTTCTTTTCAAAAGAAGCCGGAACTCTGTGTTGTTAACGTAAAAGCTTCTGATTTCAAAATATCGACAATTAAGCAGACAATCTGCTGGCCAAAAAACCACATCTGTGCACCAGACTGAGCCCAAGAATGGCCAGGTTGAGACCTCTGGTTTAAAGGATCATTGAGGCAAAAAACTGGCCAAATGCTCCCACCGTGGGCTGCACCCCGCAAGGCTTTGGTTGGCTGCTCTTGGGAACTGACCCCTAGAGTTTTGTTTAGGGGCACTCCAACTTTGTTTTTTCCCAACATTTTCTCCTGTTACTTGAAATAGCTGATTTTTATTGGTAATTGAAAATTCCATCAAATGTTTCTCTACCTAACCTCAGATTTAGCTAATAACTAAATGTCAAGGCCAAGCATAATTCGTGTCCAGAAATGCAATTTTGAAAGAAAATGAAAAGATCCCCAGACTCACCATTTTTAGAGGTGCAATTACTTTAATTGTCTGAGAGGTCGAATGTGTATAAGAGCATCTTTAAACTCCTCTCGGTGCCCGAAGATGCTTTTGGGAGGTTGAAGGCCTGGCCAGGGAGGAATGGAGGGAGAGAAATCCAAAGGGAAGAGAGAGAAGGAGGGAAGGGAGCAGCCTGGGCGTGATGTGGCAGGTATATCCTCACTGCTTCCCACTTCACCATCCTCCCTGTTCGGCGCTGCCTCCCAAGCAAGCCTGGGCGGGCTGGCCGCATGAAGACCCCAGCGTGCATACGCACCCCAGCCCCAGCCCCGGCTGCCTGCTCGGCGGTGCCATTGAGGGCATTGCTAATGGCATCACAAAGTGGCCTCTTTGATGGCCCATCTGAAAATGGTCTACAGTCAGGAATAGTTGTATTTCTCCTGGATAACTTATTTTTTCCTTCTGTACAACTAATTAGGTGGCCCCTTTTTTCAGTTGACTAATAGAAAACTTATAGCTGAATTTGTGGTACACCTACAGCAGGCTTACGGTTCTCATAGGATACATTTTGGTGTCTTTGCCAGCTAAGGTAAGTTCCTTCAGGGACAAAAGGAGGGATAAAATTGGAAGAAAAGGAAGGAGAGGGGGAACCAAAGTGTGAGCAGTCTGAATGAGACCCTGCCACCGAAGACTCCATTTTCTAGATCTGCCTGCCCACCATAGTAAGTAAAGATAAACATCATGAGAAATAGTTACCATTCATATATTGTTTAAACTAGAACACGTTTGATAACAAAGGTTGGGGAGGGGGCACTAGGACAACAAGTGTGACCCAGGGCTGTCCCAGGCCTCGGGAGACACCAGCAAACCTAAGCTTGATGTGGTGGAGCAGGGAGGGTCGGAAGAGGAGAGACTGGGGAGGGAACCAAGGCAGGGGAGAGAGGCTGTGGAGGGCTTACATATTTGGGGTCAGAAATAACCGCTGGGGTCAGCATCGTGTTCTCTATGGTTGAAATAAGGAGATAATCAAAGTTGTGATTACATGAATCACGTGGTTTATTGCTACACAAAGAGATTTTGTTTTCCTTTGGTTCACAATGCCTAAAAAGGGGCAGAATAATGAGAACAATTCTCTCAGGGAATGCATTAGCCATGGAGTGAGTGGCTTCCAAAATTACTAGAGTCTAGTCGCTCAATTAGGCGGGAAGCAGCCCTCTGTGGGAAGTAAAGTCTAACTAAAGTGTGAGGGGTACCTTTACACAGGTGGCCATTGGGAGAGATGACCCACACAGTGGAGATGCTGGACAACACGTTAGATTCCCAGAGCATTGGCTGGCTGGCGCTGGCTGGCAAGGGTTCTGAGATTTGCTCAAAGGCTAATGGAGTGTGACCCCACTGAGCTCTCGGTCTTTGAAGAGGCGGTTAAGAGTGTGGCCTCATTTTGGCATAAACTTGCCACCTGAGAGAGGTGGCTGGCAGTGTAGCCCTGCCATAGCCTGAGGTCTTAGAATGTCAAAGCCTTGAGTTTATACGTAATTTGAAGCCCAGTAGTTGAGGTCATATACGGGGTCTTATAAGATTTGATGATGTAACATTTTCTCTCAAGGGGAAGGAGAGTTCACTCCAAGTTCTTATCATAGAAAAACATATGACACTCACGTAGCAAACTATGCAAGTATTTGGAATTGTTTCAGAGCCACGTAACACAGTGTATCTGGACCTATCATCTGTTAGAGCCGGAAGGGGAGTGTTGGACTATTCTTGCACTGGAATTTGGCTTTTGACTGGACTTTCAAGGTAAAGAGTAAAAGTGCCCTGACTGTATAGATGAATCTTACCAAGTGTCTTAGTTCAGGCTACTGTAATAAACACCATAGATTAGGTAGCTTATAAACAACAGAATTTATTGCTCACAGTTCTTTAGGCTGGGAAGTCCAAGATCAAGGTGCTGGCAGATCAGGTATGTGGTGAGGGCCTACTTCCTGGTTTGCAGATGGCCGTCTTGTATCCTCTTATGATGGAGAGAGCAGAGGTAGGGAGAGGTGAGGCAAGCTCTCTCATGTCTCTCATAAGGGCACTAATCCCATAATGAGAGCCCCACCCTCATGACCTAATAACTCCCCCAAATCCCCCGAATACCATCCCACTGGAGGTTAGGACGTTGATATGGTTTGGCTGTGTGTCCCCACCCAAATCTCATATTGAATTGTAATCCCCATGTGTTAGAGGAGGGGCTGGGTGGGAGGTGATTGAATCATGGGGGCAGACTTCCCTCTTGCTCTTCTCGTGATAGTGAATGAGTCCTCATGAGATCCAGTTGTTTAAAAGTGTGTAGTGCTTCCCCCTTCTTGTGCTCTCTCTCTTTTGTTCTCACTCTCTCTCTCACTCTCTCTCTCACTCTCTCTCCTGCTGCCATGTGCAGATGTGCTTGCTTCCCCTACACCTTCCACCATGATTGTGAGTTTTCTGAGGCCTCCTGGCCATGCTTCCTGTACAGTCTGCAGAACTGTGGGTCTATTAAACCTCTTTTCTACATAAATCAACCCAATCTCAGGTATGTCTTTATAGCAGTGTGAGAACAGACTAATGTAGACATCAACATGTAAATTTGGGTGGGGGCCATACATGCTGTCCATAACAGTAAGGGTGCCTCCCACATCCTCTGCTAGTCCGTGCCACCTCCGGAGCTGGTATTTGGGCATGGGTTGAATAGGAAGGATTAGGCTTTCTCTATTGGGTGGTGCTAACGTTGCCTATAGACTAATTTGCTAATTTTGAGAACTAACCACTGGGATTTGGCCATAATTCCATGCAGAAGGAATCAAGGAATCGAAGTTGAGATGAGGTAACTCTGCTCAAAAGTGTAAATGCTTTATTGTCACCATTGATTTCTGGCTGGTCTCAGAAATTCCCAAGAGCTGCTTTTAGTGCACATTAGCTACAAGTCAGAATCTCACCAGGGCTGCACCCTCTCAGCCTGTGACTGTAAAAGGATGACTCACCTGTGTTCATGTACTCCAGAGAGCCTAAAGATGTCTTGCAGAGAGGGTGTTGCTCCCTAGACCAGCACGTAGGGCTCGGGAGATGTCGCCTTATGCCTCCTGGATGGGCTTGTATTATGTCTGCCACAGAATCTCCAGAAGCTGGGAGGGGTCCTCATCTGGGAGAAGTCCATAGGGACTGTTGGTGAATACAGCCAAGCCCAGCCCACCCCAACTCTGTGAGGGGAATGGAATGGAAACGCAGGCTCCCATTGTGAAACTCACCTATGTGTCCTGGCCCTGGCATTACCCAAGATAAACTTAGGAGATTCATGTGGGCTTGGCCTCAGTCATGGGAGTGTTTTTGGGAAGGGGCCTTTGTCTTATCATCTTGGCACATCTGAGCTTATCTAGTAAAGAATTCCACAGTTACTTCTTCAGGACCTGCTAAGGGCCAGGCTCTGAACAAGCCACAGACCCCACCCTCAAGAGGTATATAGCCTAGAGGGCTGGCCCCATGCCTGCAGCTGAGCGGCTGAGCACACTGTGAAAGCGTCCGTGGCTGCACTCCTGCGACGTGGAGGTACCTTTGCCAAATGTGACTGTGGACAGAGATGAGAGATCCGTAAGCAGCAGGCCTTATGTCCTTCCTGCTGCCTATTCTGACTCTGGGGGCCTGGTTCCCTCTCCCTGCCTCCACATCATTTTCCGCCTCTTAGAAGGTCTTAGCCAGACTCTCTGCTCGACTTTCAATTTCATTTCACATCAGACGTAGTCTCCTGGGTCACTAGCAGCTCCAAGCTCTGCAGCCAAGGGACTGTCTACCCGGGAGCTTTGCAGCCAAGGGACCGCCTACCCACTTCCATGTCCCCAAACTAACTGATGACTCTCTGTCTCCAGCTTTCCTGAGCACCTGCTGTATGCTAGACATTGGACTAATTTTAAAAGCCGAACTCCTTAGCCTGACACTGGGGGCAGCTACTCCCTCCCTGCACCCACCTCTCCTCTCACCAGCTCCCCTTGTACTTTTGTTTCAGCTGCACTGAACCCCTGGCTGTTGCCCACACAGGTGTCTTCCACACTTGGGGCCCTTGAGGATGCTCTCCCTCTGTCTAGGATGCTCTCTCTCTGACTAGGATGCTCTCTCTCTAGCCCATTTTTCTTTCTTTCTTTCTTTCTTTTTTTTTTTTTTTTTTTTCCTGAGGCAGAGTCTCACTTTGTTGCCCAGGCTGGACTGCAGTGGTGCAATTTTGGCTCACTGCAACCTCTGCCTCCCAGGTTCAAGCAATTCTCCTGCCTCAGCCTCCCAAGTAGCTGGGATTATAGGCACCCGCCACCATGCCTGGTTAATTTTTGTATTTTTAGTAGAGACGGGGTTTCACCATGCTGACCAGGCTGGTCTCAAACTCCTCACTTGTGACCCACCCGCCTCGGCCTCTCAAAGTGCTGGGATTACAGACATGAGCCACTGCACCTGGCCTCCAGCCCACTTTTCTATATGCCCTGCTCATTCTTCGAGGCACAGGTGAGATGCTGCCAGTTCCATAAAGCCTCTCTGAGGGCCGCCTGCACCCAGCTGTGGCCCTCACTCCTCAGGCTTGGAGGACAGACGCTTCCCATGAATGCGTGTCTCCCTCTGCAAGGCTATGACCTTATTAGTCAAGGACCAGGCCCTTGACTAGTAAAATATTGCCCAGCCTCTCCCCTCCTAGTCTCACAAATCCAGTCTAGGTAGGGCCTGGCACGGAAACCATTCCTCCAGCCAGTGTCCAGCTCTCTAATTACATCTTGTAGTTTTAAGGCTTGGTTATTATTTTCAAATGATGGCATGAAGCGGAGGGAACTGAAGTCCCTAGCAGGAATAAAACCAAATCACTTAAATTTCCTGGGAAGATAACTTGCTTCTCTTATTGCCATTGTGGAGATAGACTAAAATGTTGGCAAAGTTTCTGTCATTGAGGTTGACTTCTGGCTCCATCACTTACTGGCCAAATGACTTTGCGAAACATACTTAAACCTCTTAAAGCCTCTGTTTCCTCATCTGTGAAATGGGGAGACACCCAGCATATGGGCTATAAAACGAGAACCTCCCCTTCCATGGCATATTTGAGATCTGGGACTCACATGTTGCTATGCAGGCAGAAAGGGTGTGTCTGATAAAGCCTGCCTGCCAGTTCTGACCTGCAAGGGTTTATGACCCCTCTCTTCCTCCTGTTTGAGAATCACTGGCCTTCAGGACCTACTTAAGGGTACTCAGTAAGTAGCTGAGAATACAATGATGTCATGTACACATGACATAATACTAAGCACAGAGCAGCTCCATCAGAGCCCTCTCCCTTTCTCCGTGTCCGATACAAGCCATAACTTTCCTTGGTGCTGTGAAGCCAAAGCAGGCAGTATTTACAGAGCACGGAGAGGTTAAATGTAGAGTGCGCAGCAGCACCACCTCTGAAGCCAGAAGGAATTTGTCCTGGCCTAGAAAGGGAGTGTGCTGTGCAGGAAGGAATCACCTTCTGCCTTGGATGAAGCTGCCACTAGCCCCTTTCTCTTCACGGTCTTTGAGGTTACAGGCAGGTGCACACCCTTACCCCACCCTTTACCCATGTGGGAAAACATGGCTTTGTGCTCTTATCCATGGTGCAGAAGACCAGTGCCGAAAGCCCAATGGCAAAGGTGCAGAAACTGTGGCCAGATTGGAGCTGACCATGTGTGGTTTTGTAAATTGCCAGCTGAAAATAGCTTCCAACAATATGGGGTCAAGGATTTTTGAAGCACCATTATTAAAGCATCTCAAACTTCAGTTTGTAATGCCCCTGTCCCTACATGTCACCCCTTCCCCTGCCCCAGAAGAAAAGTGTCACACCCCACTTTGTTTCTCCCTCCACTTTTTTCTTCCCTTCAGTGCCCCTTCTCTGTCCTGGCCCCCACAGCAAGCTGATGAGGCACCTGGGCACTGTGGCAGGCTGTACCTGTATGATTGAAGGATCCCATTGGCTGCCTGCAGCTAAGCCTAAGCTTGTGGACAGCCTCCTAGGACTCGAACGAGTTGCAGTGTAATCATCTCCTTTTAGACACTCAATCCTGTGCTCATTTCTCAGTTTGAGAACCTGTTTTCTGGGTCCAGGCCTTTCTGATGAAGGTTTTTACCCTTCGACGCCACTTCTAAAAATGGTCTAAAACAAAGAATAAGTTATTTATCTCCTTGGACCTCTGCTTGTTTTTATTTATTTATTTATTTTTCTTGTCCAGGCTGAAGTCTCCATGCCCTTTGACAGACATGCAGTGGCCTTCCTGGCAGCTCCCTGCGTCCTGTGAGCTGCCCACTTCACCTTGTGTGCTTCTGGCCAGGGCTTATAGCAGTGCTGTCGTCCTGTGTGCTTGAACGGTGCTCAACTGTGTGCAAATTGGTTTTACATTCATATTTTAAATTTGCTCCTCATACTAATTCAGTGACATAAGAACGCAGGTGGTTTTATCCTTGTTTTGTAGAAGACACTAAGTTTTCGGTAAGTTGCGTTCACCCGGGGCCGCTTGGTCAGGACTAGAACCCAGGTTCCTGGGCTCAGTCCCCTGCCTGTCCCCTCTGCCCCTGAGGTCCTGGAGTGATGGTTCTTAGACCACATCCTCTATTTCCTGAATTAGGAAATAGCAGCTCTTGAGATGTTTTGCAGTCTCCTACCCAGCCACCTTATAGCCTGGGTCACTGAGTCCCATTTATTTTTTTGGGCCGGGGTGGGTTGCAGTATACAGGTGTATGTTAAAGATAGTCTTTTCATTCAAACCTATAGGAGCACTGAGGGTCCTACGTTGGCGTTTGAGCGCTGTCCGAGTGGATCTCTCATCTCTGTCCACAGTCACATTTGGCAAAGGCTGCATTTCTGCTCTGACGTGTGGGGCTCTCTCCAGCAAAATGATGTTATCGCTTTTCCTCCCAGCATGGTGACGGCCCTGGTGATGCTGTGATCAGTGTGTAATTAAAGGCAGCCGTGCATGGCTGCTCTCAGACTGTTGCTGAGGGCTTCTGATCATTGGGAAATCTCAGTGGTGTAGGTTTTAGTGGAAACTGTATCCAGCCAGGCCATTCATAGCTTCTACACCATAGAGGGAATGTTGGTCATTATCAGAGGGCATGGGTTTCACTTTTTTATGTCTGCAGCCTGAGTCGGGTGAACCTTTCTCTTACCCTAGGGAAGCACTAGAATAATGCCTGCCTGCCTACCTGACTGCCGTCCTGCCATCCCCGTCTGTCCATCCGTCCATCCATTTATCCATCTAAGGTGACAGCAAAGATTTACTGTAGAAAATCTCTTTCCCACAGTAAAAACCTCTTTTCTACAGTAGAAAGCTCTTCCAGTCTGAGTTTCCGTGTCTGCCCCTTCAGTCACAGGAACCCCATCCTGCTATGTACTGCAAAAGCAGCTGACTTCTGCCACAGTGTCATTCCCGTGGGTCTCAGCCTCCTGGTGCTGAGGCCTAGGGACTGTGTTCCGAGCCAGCCTGGGTTCTCCAGGGAAGTGTGGAGGTGCCCAGTGTGTCATCTGCCCTGGAAAATGGAAGCCACTTGTACTTCACTGTCCTCCCTCCCATCTCCCAACACCCCTTTCTCTTCACTGAAATGCTGAACAAACCTCCCTGCCCCTGCTGACTGACTCTTTTTTGATAAGGGGATGGAAAGATAGACTCAGGTGCCTCGGGTCCAGTCCCTTCCTATCCACCTTGGTTTCCTCCTGTGTAAAATGAGAAAGGTGAATTGAACTATCTTTCCTAACTCTAGCAGACCATTATAGATTCTGTTGATATCGTCGCAGAATTCTGGGAATGGGAGGGACACCGAGGGTATCTCGCCTCATGTTGGATTCCGCCTGCAGCATCCCAGATCTGTCAGTCTCAAGCGGATCACCTCCCACAGTGGGGACGTGGCCACTTTCAGAGCAGCCCATTATTTGATGATTGGATGAGTTTGTTAGAATGTCTTTCTGTCTATTAAACCTAAAACAATCTACGCCCCTGTGGTTTCTACCCATTGCCCCTGCCAAACATACTCTGATGCCAAACGAAAACATGTCCTCACACCTTTCCCCACAAAAGTCCTTCAGATACTCAGATTTACAGAAAAGCTCTTATTTACTGAGTCGTCTTTGGAAATAGCTGATAGCTCTTTGCACGTGCGCGCACGCGCGCACACGCACACACACACACACACACACACACACACACACACACACACACCCCTCTTCACGCCATGATGCCAGCCAGTGGGAAATACGGATGGAAAGCGTTTCCTCTCTGCCAGGCTTCCAGAGGCAGGGAGCAGGCCTGTCTGGAGGAACTCTATGCAGACATACATTTCTTACCGGGGAAGCCAGGGCCCCAGCTTGTAGCTTTCTCCGAGTCCCTTCCTGGCATCCTGAAGATTAATCTTGTCAGCTGCTGGGAACACAAATGTGTGTGCTGATTCATTACAGTAGCATGGTATACAGGTCTGTAGCCTGGGAGCAATGGGGTGTATGGTATAGGGGTAGCCTCGTGCTCCTGGGCTACAAACCTGTACAACATGTTTCTGTACTGAACACTGTAGGCAGCTATAACACAGGGGTAAATATTTGTATATCTAAAAATACTTAAATATAGAAAAAGTACAGTACATAGAAAGAGTAAAACATGAAAAATGGTGCCTCTGTATAGGGCATCTACCATCAGTGGAGCTTGTAGGACTGGAAGTTGCTCCGGGTGCGTCAGTGGGTGAGTGTGAAGGCCTGGGACGTTACTTTGCACTGCTGTAAGCTTTTTCTATTCAGGCACCTGTAGGCTATGCTAAATTTATAGAAATAAATGTTCTTTCTTCAAAAATAAATTAACCTGAGCTTACTGCAGCTCTTTTCCTTAGAAACTTTTAAATTTTAAAAACCTTTTTGACTCTTGTAATAACACTCAGCTTAAAACACAAATATATTGTACAGCTGTACAAAAATTTCTTTCTTTCTTTCTGTCTGTCTGTCTGTCTTTTACTTGGCAGGGGTCTCACTATATTGCCGAGGTTGGTCTCAAACTCCTGGGCTCAGGCGACCCTCCTGCCTCAGCCTCCCAAAGTGCCAGGATTACAGGCATGAGCCTCCACACCCAGCCAAAAGTAAATACTTTTTCTTTTTATCCTTATTCTGTAAGCTTTTTTCCATTTTGTAAGTTTTTAATTTTTTAAAACTTTTTTGTTAAAAACAAGCCAAACACATACATCAGCCTAGGCCTGCACAGGGTCAGGATCCCCAAGACGTCACTAGGCAATGGGGATTTTTCAGCTCCATCATGATCTTCTGGCACCATCCTCTGTTCGTGTGTTCTGTCGTTGACTGCAACGTCGTCACGTGGTGCGTGACTGTATACAATGCTGCATGGCAACAAGTTGCCGAGAGTGTGCATCTGGGAGCGTTTGGCACAGCAGCTCGTCCGCCTCTGCTTGTTAGGCGTAGCAGAGGTGACTCAAATATGAAATGTTTATCATGCTGGAAGCTGAACATCTAGTTTTCTTGGTGCAGACACATTCATTTTTAGAGTTCAATAGATGCTGTCACTTATGGGACACATTTCTCCTGAAGGTCTTTGATCACATTTGCCTGTAGAACTTCCAGAAACTCTTGGACACCTATTGAATTCTCCAGTGTTTTCCTTCTTACTTGAGAAGAAAGTTCCCACCCTTCTTCCCCCTCTCCCACTCCCCACCCCAAGGGCTGGCTCAGTTATCCACCTGCCGATGTCAGCTGCTGGTACTCCAGGGCCATTCAGGAAAAATTAATTTTCCTTTTTTTATCAGAGCGTTGGGACTTGCAGCCATCTGTCTGCTCAGCAGGCGGGGCACCTGGGGCTTCAGCCGTCTTTCTCTTCACATTTCATGCCCCTTAATCTGCCTGATTCCTTCTCTTGCCACCCTCCTTCTGTCAGGTCCCTGAGACCATGCTGGTGCTTACACTTGCCCACCACCTCCACCCCAAGCAGGGTTTTTTATTTATGATGTTGTAAGCTTTTGTTTCACTAGAACTCAGCAGGACGATTCAGTTTACAGAATGTAGTTACTTCTGCCCTTGTTAACCAGAAAATCTAGTCCATCAGAATATATGGTTTTGGTAGAAAGAGAATTGTGCATGGAATTAAGCAAATACTTAAAATCTGGCTTCACTTTCTTCATTGGTAAAATGAGAATCATATTGTGCATCTCAGCGTTAATCTGTGTAAACCTGAAAGTGTTCCATATATTTATGAAAGATGATTATTACTAGTCTTTAAGCATCCTGCTTCACTACGGTCTGCTGGCTGGTAGGTGTCAGTTGCAAATCTCCAAGTAAGCCGAGAATAAAACCGTGGCGTTCCTCCTTGGCTCTTCAGCTCTGATTAGGTGTATCCATCTCCCCAGTGAAGGCTGATGTCATTAGTTCCTCCAAAAACTTTGCCTACCTCTCAAACTGCAATTTAAATGCAGTTTAAATTAATGGTGAACAGAGACATAGTTTGTAATAATAACAACTGCTGCTTAATGAATGTGTGTCATGCGCCAAGCACTGTTCTAAGCACTTATTTTCTTTCTTTTTTTTTTTTTGGAGACCGAGTCTCAGTCTGTTGCCCAGGCTGGAATGCAGTGGTGCGATCTTGGCTCACTGCAGCCTTGACCTCCCAGGCTCAAGTGATCCTCCTGCCTCAGCCTCCCGAGTAGTCGGGACTATAGGCGCGCACTGCCATGCCTGGCTAATTTCTTTATTTGTAAAGATGGGGTTTCGCCATGTTGCCCAGGCTGGAGCATTGGAATGTTTAATTATCCCAACTCCATAAAGCCAATACTATTTCTATCCCCATTTTAGAAGTGAGGAAGCTGAGGCACAGAAAGGCAAAAGCTCATGGCCAGCATGTCACAGCTGTAAATGTGGAGGTGGGCTTCAGGCCTTAGCGGTGTGGATCACATGCTATCCTTGTCCTCTGGGTATTGCAGGCTGGCACTGAGGGACCCCACTGGGTTCCTTAGTTCCTTAGGAGTGAGGTCCCGCCTGGCTCCCCCAAGTCTCACTGGCTGGCTTCTAGCATCTTCCTCTTGGGCCTGCTAGATGCTGATCACCTGCCTGGACTTCTGTCTTCATTGGCAAACCTCTTCACTGAGGCCCTCAGGGATAGACAGCAAAGATAGTGTCCTCATTTTATAGAATTTGTCCAAGGTCACAAAACTAGGAAATGGAAGATCCAAGCCTCAAGTATAATTGAGTGTTCTTTTCACTGTGTGGTAATATTATATATTTTGTGATGACTATGAAATTAGCCTGGATATGGTGGGGTCACTGGTAAACATTTACCATAGAGGTTTGTCACCTCCTGCCTGCCTCATCACCCTGGCCCTGCCCCTGCTTGTGCTCTGAGAGTGGTCTTCGCAGAAGGAGGTTCTCAGTTCTCAGTTTGAACTGTTGCTTGCATTGTTGACTTGGGACCACAGTGGAGGAAAGAGAGCGGGAAAAGTGTCCTACAGCTGGAATGGAGCTTTCTGGAGATGCACTTTCTTGCTGTAACAGATTCCAAGCCATTCTTTGTGACTGCTGATTTGTGGTGCACTTTGCTGCAGTTGCAGAAATAGCTGTGCTATAGTTAGCCAAAGGCTATATGTCAGGCTTGCTCTATAACAGCTAGCTGCAAAGCCAAGGCCTGCCCTTACTTGTAAGGTGCTGATGAATGTGGAGCTAGGACTGAAAAATCCACCCGCCTTTCAGGCAAGTCAGATCACCTGTCCCTTTCATGAACAAAGAAGACTGTGTGTGTTTGGAAATGAATGGGGAGACGGAAAGAGGGTGGTTCGGCTTCTGAGTCTAGGGTGTTTGAGCAATGTGGGGGTCAGGTAGTGGGTAATGAGGATGCCTGTGACAAAGCGAGGCTGCTTCCTCAGCAGCTTGGGAAGGAACCGGCCAATGGAGCAGGCCGGCACAAGGGAGAACACTGTTTGGGTCCCATTTCTGAGAATAGGCCGTAGAGGGCACGAGGGATACATTGAAGGAGGGACCTGAATGGTCCTGCTTGCAGAATTTGCAGGTCTTGGCAATGGTGTTGTGTTTGCAGGTCTCAGGCTAAGCAGACCCTTGGGGATCCTGTCACCATTGGGTCCAGCTCTGCCTTGTTTTTCGGAGCGTATGGGACAAAGCCGCAGTTGGTGCAGCATAAAGACCTCTTCCGATCTGGCCTCAAGCTGATCTTTCAGCCTCACTGCCCTCCTCTCCCTTCTCCCTGCACCCTGAAATTGTATGCACGTTTTGTTGTGTATGGCCATGGGTACATTTGTTCAGATTCTTGAAGGTGCTGACTTGAGCCCAGCCCCTCCAGATTGCCTGTTGCCTCCGTTCCCCTCCTCTCGCCTCCAGTGCTTTGCTCAGGCTGATTTCTTAGCATAGCATGTCCTTCCCCAACTCTGGCTGTGGAAACTTACTTCCTTTGTAAGCTGAGCTCTAGCATAGCTACTGGCATGAACCCTTTCCCTGATCTACACTTCACCCGTAAGTAGGAATCACCTCTCCTCTTTCCTCCATTTCTGAAGCATTCTGCTAATGACTTGGTTAAAGCATTTATTTAATCTTACCTGGTGTCTCCACAGCTAAAGGTTATAAAGTCCTTGAGGACCAGCAGGGTCCACCCCATCTTCACTCATCTCTGCCTTTCCCCTCTAAGCCCAGACCTGCCTAGCAGTTTCTAGAAGACAGCAGGCTGCATTCAGATAGTCCCTGTCTACTGAGTGTGATCATTGTCACTTCAAAGCCAGCTCCAGAGTCATCTCTAAAGGTGCTAATGGGCAGCTCCTACCTGTTGGTGGGCATGCTGGGGCTGTACCTGAGGGTCCTCAGAGAGGGACCACAGATCTACCAGGAAATCCTGGCAACTGAGTAGCTTGCACTGAGTATTTGCTGAGACTGGCAGAATGGCAGGAGAGACATTCAAATGGCTAAAAAGCACACAAAAAGATGCTCAACATCGTTAGTCATCAGGCAGAGTGTAAAGCAAAGCTACAGTGAGACACCAGTTCATATCCACTGGTCAGCTATAATAAAAAAAGAAAGGCAGGACAATAACAGGTGCTGGTGAGGAGTTGGAGGCATGGGAACCCGCACTCACTGGTGGTGGGAATATGAAGTGGTACAGCTGCTCTGAAGAACAGTCTGGCTGTTCACAAACTTAGTGACCCTGACCAGCCGTTCCACTCCTAGATAGGTGTACAGAGACCCGAGAGAACTGAAAACATGCGCCCACACACTAACATGCAAATGGACGTTCGTATCAGCATGAGTCATAATAGCCAAACGGTGGAAATCACCAAATGCCCGAGAGAACTGAAAACATACGCCCGCACACTAACATGCAAATGAACATTCATATCAGCATTATTCATAATAGCCAAAAGGTGGAAATCACCAAATGTCTATCAACTGATGAATGGAAAAGCAAAATATGATGAAATGTTATTTGGCCATAGAGGGAATGAAGAATTGATACATGCCGCAGCACGATGCACCTTGAAAGCATTAAGACGAGTGAAAGAAGCCCGTCACAGAAGACCGCACTATATGCGTCCATTGAGATGAAATATCCAGAAGAGGCAAAAATGGTTGCTTGGGGCTGGGGCAGGTGGTCCAGGAGTTTTGGGGGAGCGATAGCTAAAGGGTACGAGATTTCTTTTTGAGGTGATGAAAATATTCTAAAATTGTGTCATAGTTACACAACTCTGTGAGCATACTAAAATCCACTGAATTGTACATGTTAAATGGGTGAATTGTATGGAATTTAAATTATGTGTCAAGAAAGCTGTTACCAAAAAAAGAGAGAGAGAGAGGGCAGGAGGTTGTAAATGGCTGCCGTATAAGTGCAGACTTCAGTGTTCACGCTAAACTCTGCTGTCCCTCTCTATGTTAGCCGCGACCTTCCCCCCACACAATATTTTTTCCAGGGTAGAACAAGCATTAAGTACTGACAGATCTGTATAAAGTCATTTTTTAAAAGATGAAAATTTTTATTTCATTTTAATGATTTAGTTGCCTTTTTACTTTCCAAGAGAATGAAAATGACTCGTCTCGCATGGGGATGTTTTTCTTGGCCACTGGGACAAGACGGTTCTACTAATCTTCCAGTGTTGGCGCATGCTTTCATTTATTCAGTCAGCCAGTCATTCTTGCACAGCAAATATTTATTGTGTACCAGTGTTTTAAGATTTGAAGAGACAGAAATAAAAGTCTCCACCTTCAAGGAGCTTATACAAGGGGGGAGACATTCAAGTAAGCAAGTAACAGATAAGTATTGTGATGAGGGGCTCTAAACACATAGGAGAGGCCCAATTAGAGGTAATCAGGGAAGGCATCAGGAAGAGGTGACATATTGGAAGGAAAGCAGGAGTTGGTCAGGAAGAAAGGACATTTTAGGTCCAGGGAGCTACAGGAGCAGTGGCTCAGGGTAGTTTAGGGAGCTATGAGAGTTTAGTCCAGGAGCCCGGGGTGTGCAGGTAAGAGTGCTGGTCCAAGGAGTCAGACACAGAGGGCCTCATAAACCATGCAAAGGCATTTGTGCTTTATCCTGGTGAGGATGGGGAGGTCTGGTTTCATTTTCATTTTAGGATGTTGACATTGGTTGCATGGTGGAGATTAGATTGGAGAGGAGTGAAAACATGAATACCTGGGGCTGAGATGAGATTTAAGGGGGGCAGCTGGAAAGGAGGATGAATGCGCTATGGGTTAAGGATGCACTGGGGGTTCTGGCTTGGGCGCCCTGGTGGGTGATGATGTGGTGTGTCAGGTAGGAAGGGATGTGCAGGCGTTTGTCAGTCATTTGCCTCCCTGGGGGGCTGTACTGAGGCTGAGCTATCAACACTTCCCTGAGCAGACTAGGACTGCATGCTAGAAAGGGATGGAAGTGTTCTGAGTCTGCCTCCCACCAGTGGTGTGGCCATGTGCCGTCAGCTTCCCTGGCCCCGTTGCAGGTTACAGGTCCTCATGGGCCCTGGGCTCCTGGCATGCCAGGCTCTTTCACTTGCCTGGACCTTGGGTTTCCCAACTATCTGTATGAGGAGACGGATGTTTGGATGTTTAAGCTCCCTTCTAGCTCTGATACTATGTCAGCCTATGTGATGTACACATTTGCACAATTACCTCTTTCAATGATTTATATAATCATTTCACAGACCCTTCAAAATTCATTCTGATCAATCAAATATCTTACTTTTTATTAATACTTCCTCTTTCTACATGGCGTTTTGCTCTTCAGAAAAATTACACACACACACACATTTTGTCTCACTCTGTCACCCAAGGTGGAGAGCAGTGGCATGATCATGGCTTACTGCAGCCTCAACCTCCTGGGCTCAAGTGATCCTCCTGCCTCAGCCTCCCAAGTAGCTGGGTCTACAGGCACGTGTCACCATGCCCAGCAAATTGTTTTGATTTTTTGTAGAGATAGGGTCTCAGTATGTTGCCCATGCTGGTCTTGAACTCCTGGGCTCAAGTAATCCTCCTGTCTCGGCCTCCTAAAATGCTGGGATTACAGGCATGAGCCACCACACCTCACTATTTTTAAACTTTTAGCATTGTCTATATTTTCTTTATTACATGCCACCTCGAAATCTTTGCAAGTAGATGGGGCCTGAGGAATAACTAAATCAATACAAATACGTGAATTAAAATTTTGATTCCAGCACCTTTTTAGCAAGTCCATGGCACCCCTGGAGGAACTGACAAAGACACCCAGGAGTAACACAAAACCAAATCTACGGATGATGCTTGAGAGTCAAATCCGCCGTGTGAGGTACTCCCCAAACTTAGATTCCAGTTTTGCTGTGTCTCCCTTCCTAAGGCCTCTCTTTTAAGCACTGATCTCTGAACACTCATGTTTACCGGGGAGCTGTGTTGGAGAAGGCTTTTCCCAAAGCGAAGACTCTTCTAGAACGCAGATGCCCACCCCAGGTCCCTCAGGTTCTTCCCACCTCTACCCCTGAAGACTTCTTTCATTTTCTTAGCCTGGCTCTGAAAATCCACAGAGGGAACATTCTGTAAAATGGAGGTTGCTGCACTTGAGTTACAGAATGGTACATGGGAAGATGAAAAGACCATTTCCTTCTGCTTCCCTGTGAGAGTCTTTCGGACCCTCTGTTTTATAACACCATAACTGCATCGCAACCAGGCAAGAAAATCAAATCACCTCCTACCAGATTTGTAGTGTTTTTCCACCAGGCAGCCAGGTCAGAGCAGAGGGCCCCTGGGAGGCTGTGCCTTTGCTCCCTCCGGCCACCTGGCAGATGGGGTGGCAATGCTGTTGAACAGTCTTGTCTTCTCTAGGGAGGGGAGTGTTGGGATCAAATTGAAAGAAGGAGGAGGAGCCCTCCAGGGATGTCTATTTTTTGTATCTCCTTTTTCTCACAAATGGACATTCTGTCCCTGCGTGCTTCCTTCCTGTGCAGAATGTCAAGTCTTTATGCCCGGTTGGGTTTTTTGCCGAGACTGTCGCAGAATTGAGAACACCAAAGGTAGAAGGCCAAATCCATGGGCTCCTTTCTAGAGAGCAGGAACTGTGCCTTCATCACTTTTATATCCCCAGTGCTTGGTACAATGCTCTGTTGTACACAGTCCCAGCAAATATTTGGGACTACTGTAAATGAGTGAATGAATGAATGAATGATCACAGAATGACCAATCGCATTTACCAGTGGGAAGGCAACTTCTGACCTGCCACAGGCCAGGACAGCGCCAAAGAGGGTCAGGTGCGGTAACGAATACCCCACCGCTTAGCTCTGTGGCTACTGTGGTTTCCGCAGGCCTGGGTCTGGCAGCCTTTCATTCACGGCCTTATCCTGCCTCACGCAGCACTGAGTGGGCCTCTCGACCTCACCTGTGTGTTAGGGGTAGAACTCAACTCACTAAAGAAAAGAAAACTGCACCAGCTTGCCCAAGGCGGGTCTGCAGTAAACAGAAATTGAAAAATAACCTTATGGCATGCATGTGATTTGGGCGTAGGTCACTGTTGACATTTTTCATTTGCTGACTATATAGCAGAAATGCCTCCATGTGGTTTTGGGGGCACTCCTTGTGTCTTTCTCAGTTATCTCGGGGTATCGTGAACCTGTGGAAGAGCTGCTCCTGCCCGCACCTTCCCTGTTGAGGGCAGTGTTGTCTGGGCGGGGTTCTGGCTGCTGCGGGAGGTGGATGCCCGCTGGAGCGGCTGTGACTGCCTAGGACTGTCCTCACGCAGGTCTCTGCCAACACCTGCTACCAGGTTGGCGCCAGCAGGGCCTCTAGGTCTGATCCCATCTCCTGGCCACAGATTTTGATCATGAACATTTCAACTTATTTCCAGGCAAGATTTCAGTTGAAAATCAATATGGCTTCTTCGCTTCATTGAGATAATTTGCATTTGGAAGCGTGGGGCCAGGGGATTGATTGAGCTTGAGTTCTGATGGAGGATGACCCCCCACCGAAAGAGTTTTGAATCAGGTGGTGGGGAGGGCAGATGTCACAGCCCTTTGCTGCCCTTCCTGGGCTCTTCCCCATTGCCCACCCCCACCAGGCTTGTGAGCTCATATCCTGGCCTTGTGAGCTCCTTCCTACGCCCCTCCGGTGGACAGGCTAGGGCTGCCCTCCTGGTCCATGGCCCTACCTAAGGAGAGCCTGCTCTGGGCTGCTCTCCCAATTCTCCAGCCCCGCAATGGAAGGAAATGGGGATGAAAGGCCCAGGCCCCAGGCTTCCCCCACTTTTAGGACTGTTTGGTCGAAGGTCGAGGAGTAGAGGCCAAAAGCATCATGTCCAGGCCCCTAGCTGAATATCAGTTCAGCTCCCTGTCGGAGCCGGGTCCCCTCCCCTGCTCTTGGGGACAGGTTTAGCCTAGGTGTCTCTGACGTCACTGTCTTCCTTGCCATGTGGCCCCTTACACACCTCTTTTTTCTCATTCTTATTTTCTCTTTTTTACACATTCTCTTTTTTCTATCAGCTTCTTGAGGGCGGGGATCAAGCCTTTCATTTTTTTCTCTTTCCCTGTAACTGCTCAGTAAATGTGTAATAAATGAATAAAGAATGGGTTAGCTTGAAAGAAGCTGAGATGCCATTTATTCGTACTGCTCTTTTCCCTCTGTCCTTCAAATAACCCGGGACAGCCTTGTGCACCCGCAGCCTGATAGAAAATACAGATGTGTGCTGCGTCCGTGAAAAACGCTGCCAGTGCCGGCTCAGACTCCAGCCTTCCCGGAGCCAGCCCCTGTCCGTACGCTGCTTGGCTCTAGTGGGAGTTGTGGTCCCTGGAACCTGGCTGACTGTGTCCCGGCCAGCGAGGGCAGTCTTGTGATACTGGAGGTTGATGTGGGGTCCACACTCCCACGGGGTTCAAAGTGTCTTGGGTTTTTGGAAGTTGACAGTAAGGCATGTGCTCATTAGTTTATCAGTCTGTCAGCAAATATTTCCTGAGCACTGCCTGCTTACCAGACACTGTGCCAGGTGCTGGGGCTGCGTTCGTGAGCAAAACAAACGTGGTCCTTGCCCCCACGGAATTCACAGTCTAGAGGGGGAGGCCTAGAAACACTAGACAAATTATCAGGGGAAAACAAAGTTATTCTGTGCCAGGCCCAAAGCCCCAGAGCTCTCTCATGCTGCCATCGCAAACCATTTCCCTTCCAGGTGAGTCCTAGGTCTTGGATTTATACCCATCGTTCTCCCAGAAGCATCTCAGTCCAGCCCCCAACCATCTGGTCAGTTCCTGTAGAAAACCTTGTCATTTTCCTTAAAGCAGCTGACAAGCACCTAGAACATTGCCGTTTAGTATGAGGGACTCTACCTGAGATCTGGCTTACTGCGTAACCACCCTGGCCCTCTGTCTCTTTGTCTGTAAAATGAGGGCTGTGGTCTAGACCCACACTTCTCGAGGTGAGTTCCATGGAACACCAATCCCAGAATGTGTCCTGGAAGAAAAGGGTGTAATGATCAAGTAAGTTTGAGAAATACGTACATTTTATTCCCCCTCTTCTAGATTCACGGAGCACACTAAAGGCTCCTAGAAGTCCTGAAGTACACAGTCCTGTCTAGCTTTGTTGAGCGTTAGCTTTTTTAAGCTTTTTGACCCAGATCCCTTTGTTCACATGATACCTGTTTTCCTGAGGCATTAGGACCCTTGGAATTTGCTGCAAAGGTCTTTGAAGGGCCTTCTGCTCTGTGTGCTGGAATTAGGGTTCTGGTGATGTCCTGGGCGGGGGACAGAAGTTGATATGGGGCAGTGGCCCAGACCCTGTAGCATCTGGTGCCCCCCTTTGTGATTATCGTGCCCGCGTCTGAGGAGATGGCTGGCTGTGAATTTCCTGCAGTGGGCTCCGGAGACATTTAAGATGCTCACTGGTGGTGGCACTGCCTTGGAATCCGCAATCATTCTTAATTGGTCTCAGAACCATCAGCTGGCGAAAGCATCTGTCAGGGGAAACTTGAGCAGCGTTCAGAGTCCCATTAATAATTCAGCTGACGAGCTCCTTCAGACGCAGGCCTTGCAGCCCTCAGGACTCACTCGTCTTCTGCCTGCAGAGATATTCCAGGGAGGCCTTCTCTGTTATATCACCGACGTTAGTGACTCAGGCAGTAGCACCTCCGTGTTCTCCCAGAATCCCCAAAGCCTCATCAGTCAGGAGAGGGAAGATTGGTACAGATTAAGCCCTCTGTAATTCCGTCAGCCGGCCAGGAGAGGGGGGCTTGCTGACGGGGAGGCTCTGGGGAGTGGATGCTGATGGCGGGGTTTAGGCAGCCCCTTATGCTGTGCTGGGGGGATTTGTCCACTATGATGGATAGGTGGTGGGCCCCTCCACTTCTTCCACTGCCTGTAGCCATTCAGGAAAAAAATGTAGGGTTTTTTTTTTTGGTAAATTAGAGGCTTGCACATTGAAGATACCTAAAAATATTGGTTGAATGAGTTCTAGCTGATTAGATCTGGTTGTCATTCCCATTTAGTAGAATGATAGAATGACATTGCCGAATGGGAACATGGAGATCATCTCCTCCAGCTCCTTCATTTTTCAGTGTAGGAAAGTGAGATCAGAGAACAGTGACTTTGTCAAGGTCACCAAGCTGGTTCGTTGCAGAACCAGGCCAGTGCCCGGGCTCCTGGCTTATAGCACCTGGTCCTTTCCAGCTGGCCACACCCTGTCTCTGAGCACAGAGGGCTCAGTGTCCTTCTTGGAGGGCTGCAAACAGCCCCAGGCACAGTGATGTGGAGATAGCAGATGCTCTTCCCACTCTGCTGCTGAGCCACCAAGGGGAGCGTGTCGCCCCCGCTGTCACACTGATGGGGTGGTGAGGGGAGTTTGTTACGTGCCGTCAATAATGTGAAACCAAAAAAGCTGGAAACTTCCTTCTTTCTCTCAGCTTCCTGGCTAATTTGTGGTGCTGGGGCTGGCAGTCGCCTCCCCCTTCCTGTGGAGTCGAAGGACCTTGGGACTCATCCCTTCTCACCTGTTTGTGGGCTCTCCTAGGACCCAGCTCTGGGGTGCTCAGGCATGGGGTACTTTCCAGCTGGACTTCTCAGCTAGACACTGAGCTGCTGTACTGATACTGAGTACTGAGTACTACTACTACAGTACTACCAAGTAGTACTACTCAGTACTGCTGTACTACTACTCAGTACTACATTCCAGCTAGACACTGAGCTGGTGTTCCACCTTCGTCTGGAGGATGGGGAGATATCAGAGCCTTACTTTTCCCATCTGCGTTTTTAACCTCAGCCCTTTTAGACTACTGAGGGGTGCAATGGACTGAATAATTGTATCCCCCCAAAATTCATGTGTTGAAATCCTAACCCCCAGTGTGATGGTATCAGGAGGTGGGGCCTTTGGAGAGTGATTAGGTCATCATGAATGGGATGAGTGTCCTGATGAAAGAGACCCTGAAGAGCTCTGTCACCCCTTCACCATATGAGGAGACTGGGGAAAGGCAGCCATCTGTGAACTGGGCAGTGAGTCCTCACCAGACACAGAATCAGTGGGCACGTTGGTCTTGGACTTCCCAGCCTCTAGAACTGTAAGAACTTGACTTCTGTGGTTTATGGGCACCCAGTCTGTGGTACTTTGTTATAATAGCTTGAACTAAGACAAGAGGAATGGAGGATGACAATGTAGGGTCCAGGCTGGGCTTTCTCTTGGAGGCCCAGTGCTAGACGATGCCTTTAGAGATGACTTGGTCAGCACCCAGTATTATAGATGGGGATCCTGAGGCCTAGAGAGGGGTAGCCACTTGCCCAGGTCACAGGGCCAGTTGATGGTAGGGCTAGAATGCTGGAATAAAGCTGCCTGAGTCCCCGACCTGGCGAGTGTTCTCCTGTAGAGTCTCAGCACGAGGCCCTCAGCCTTTCTTGTTTTGGGTGCCATTCTCCAGAATAGGACCAGCATGTCTGCTAGCTCCAAACCCAAGTGGTTAGAAAGCACAGAGGAGGTTTGGGGATGAGGGAATGCTCAGTGTGACTGAGGAAGGTTTTAGAGTGGGGCGTAGGGGCAGAAAAGATGAGAACGTCATTTGGGGCTAGGCAGCAAAGAGGAGCCTTCAGAGGCTCTGAATTCAGCAGGGGAGCAAAATATCTAGAGGAACCCTGTCTTGGGAGGTCATCCTGGAGGGTATGAAGGCCAAAAGGAGTTAAAGGAGCAGAGATGCGGGTGGTGGGCGTCAGTCTCCATCCATCCTGCGTGCACCAACCCAAGGCTTTCTGTACAAGAGGGAACCCCGTCTCTCATCACCATCTTGTCCTTTGAATCACACGCTGGGGCAGGCCTTGGCTGAATTTCTACCTGGAAGGCCTCGGTAGGTGTAGCCTGAGTAGAGGGCAGATCACATCCTCGGGTGAAAAGATAGACCTCTCAATGGCTGGGCGGCCAAGGCCTTCCTGCAGCTCAGGGAGGCTTTGGTAGATGCAGCATTTCCAAGGGCATGGCCGGTGTGCTGTGGTTCCCGGGTGTTTGGGCCCTGGGAGCATGGGGGTGCTCACGGAGGAGGCAGCAGCAGGCTAGGTGTGGCCCACAGGCCACCCAGCTATATAATCTTAGCTCCAACACACGTCACACACCCTCACACTCTCCTGCCTGTGAGCCCCAGGGAGGTAGGGGAACACCACGAGCCTGATTTGCAGGTGAGGGTTTGGGGGAGTAAGCCCTAGGAACCCTGACTGTCTGGGAACAGGGCGGGGGCTGGCCTGACATGCAGGAGCTGTGCCAGCCAGGCCGCACACCCTCTCCGTGCTCTTCCAGCTTCTCAGGTGCCGTGAGCTTGCCTTGTCTTCCCCTCCGGGACCCCGCAGAGTCGGTGCTCAGTGACGGAGCCACGGAGAAGGGAAATCCTGACTCTGAATCCTGAATGAAATGGGTTTCACTCTCAGAGTTACTAAGCACTTTTCATGGAGCCATCCGAGGAGAACACTGCAGGGATAATAGCAATGCTAACGATAGTCATGGGAATACAGGGGTGTTTCTGTTGCTACAGCTGAACAGGAATAATAATGTTAGTTAATGTTATTGGGGTGCACCCTGTGCCAGGCACTGTGCTCAATGCTTGCTTTATATGGAGTGTCACTGAATCCTCACGGCAATGCTGTAAGGTCAATATGAATATTACTCCCATTTTCCAGATGAGAAAACTGAGGCACAGATGGTTTACACATGGTTCAAGGCCAGCCTCAGAGCCAGGATGTGGTGGAGCCAGGATTCCATGCCCAGCCTGAAGCTCTTTACCAGGCTTTCCTTCTCTGTGGCCATGGGGGCTGGGGCGGGGGGGGCATCTGAGCAGCAGAGGGCAGTGGTGGGGTTGGGAGGGGCACCCCCAGGAGGATGGGGCAGCTACTGTGTCAGAGTGGGTGGGGGTGAGGCCTTTGCTGGACGCCCAGGCTCTGCCCTCCTTTGAGTAGATCATCTTGTCCGTGGAACCTGGATAGAGGCCTTAGGCTGAAGACAGAGGAGAAATCTAAGCTTTTTGTTTTCAGAGAGAAAAGAGACAGCATGTGAGTTTTGAGTGGAATCTGATCCTAGAGACAGGCAGCCGGTACCCCAGTCACGAGCAGGAATCCTGCGGGCCCAGTGGGAACTTCCCATCCCAAGGGAATGCAGGGACAGGCTGCTCCCCCCGCCCCGCCCAGCCCCTGACCTCCCCCTGCCTTCCCTGCTTCAGCCACAAACCCCTTGACCTTGTTGTTTCAACTGCAGAACAGGCTCCCCAGCTATTGTTCTTGGAGATGATTCTGTGATCTTAGGACCTTTGAGAAAAGAACAAACAGCTAGGAAAACACAGGGTGGTTAAAAGATGTTTGTGATGTTTGTGCCGTATGGAACAAAAGAGGCATTCGGGAGACTCAGCATTGTTCTGCGGAGTGAGGACGAAACAGCCCTCGGAGGCCTCCTCTCATCTGGGGGCATCCAGCTCATTGTCGTGGAATGTAGCTCCAGCCATCGCTTCATTGTCAGGCCATATACTCTGTGCGGGGCCCGGGCTAGGAGTGTGTTTACACTTGATTCACTTGGAATCCTCTCCTGGTTTCTGATCCATTCTTTCTGTCTTCTTGTTGGGAAAAGTGGCTCATGTTATCACCCAGTCACTCATTTCATAGCAGCTACCCAGGTCCCTTACTGGATACCCTTCATCGCCTGTCCTCAGCAGGACCAATAAAGTCATATTTATACAGCAATCTAAGGTCACATAGTCATTTTATGTGATTTCCCTTATTGGATTTTTATATCAGCTTCACTATATATGTTATTTCCTTTTTTTTTTTTTTTTTTGTTTGAGATGGAGTCTCGCTGTGTCTCCCAGGCTGGAGTGCAATGGCGCAATCTCGGCTCACTGCAACCTCCACCTCCCAGGTTCAAGTGATTCTCCTGCCCTAGCCTCCCGAGTAGCTGGGATTACAGGCGCGTGCCACCACACCCAGCTAATTTTTTTTTTTTTGTATTTTTAGTAGAGACAGGGTTTCACCATGCTGGCCAGGCTGGTCTTAAACTCCTGACCTCGTGATCCACCCGCCCTGGCTTCCCAGAGTGCCGGGATTACAGGCATGAGCCACCGCGCCTGGGCTTATTTCCATTTTTTCAAAGACAAAACTGAGGCTCAAAGCAGAGAGGTGACCTGCCTGCTGATGTACAGCTAATGACAGAGCCCCAGAGGAACGCAGTGCTCTTAGAACCCCACTGAAGATTCCTCCTTCAGGGAACTACGTTTCGAAAGTTTACTACGTCACCTCCTTCGGGAATTCTGAAACATTGTGTACTCGTATCTTTACCCGTGAAAGCTGTTTCTGGGATTGGCGCTGTCAACTCCAGGCCCAGGTCTCTCTAATTCTGGGTTGGTAGGTTTTGCATTAATGAGATTTAACTCACCATGGTTCATTTCTCCCTTTGCAGTCCCTTGTGTATGCCCCTGGGGCATAGGTGCCTGTGGCAAGTCTGTGAAGGCTGCATTCTCCCCCAGCTTGGAATGCCCAGTGCCCCTGCTGCAGCCCACAGCCCTTCAGAAGGTGATTGCAAGGAAGCCAAGCCTAACCTCATCTTCCGTTCCTTCTGCCATGTCCACACCTGGCGTCACCTGTGCAGCCTTTCCTGCATGAGTCATGGCCAGGCAAGCTCGGTGACATGCACTGGGAGCCCGGTGTGGAAGCTGGGAGGCAGTCATTGTGTAGTCACGCTAGTGGTGGCCACGGGCCATGGGGCTCCTAAGGAAATTAGAAGGACCTTTGGAACTGCCTTCCTCCCCACCCTGCTCTGTATCTCCTTCAGAGTTTTTCTGATAGGGGTAGTGCTGACTTGTTCCTTGGGAAGGCTTGGAGATTTGGGGTCTTCGCCTGCATCTTATCAAAATCCCTGTGTCTCACTGGAGGAGTAAGAACCTGACCTGCCATCAGGAAATGCCTTAGATGAGTGCTCAGCACCGGTGGCAGGACTGGGGATGTTTAGTTAAGATAAGAGAAAGCCCAGGGGGGCATTATCTCTGTCTTCATATGGGACAGGAAATGTACTTGTTCCTTGTGGCTCTAGGGGGCAGGACGTGGAGCAGAGAGCAGAAGCGTTAAGGGGTGAAATTCAGCATCATGTGAGAAAGAACTCACTAAAAAGTCATTTTCAAAAAGTAGAACATGCTGCCCTGAGCAGAGTGAATTTCTTCTTCCTGGAAATTTCCAAGTGTTATTCCGACGGGGAGGCTGTGGCCCAGGGGCCCAGGAATGGGAACTCCAGTGCTGAGTGGCACTGAGATGGCCACTGACCTTTACACTTATTGGCATGTAATTAGTCCCCTCCACAGTGTCCTGTAGTGACAGCTACCCACAAGAGCTGAGCTCCGGGCAGGCACCACAGAGGGAAAGAGGGCCAGGGACCCCTCATTCTTATTGTTTCCCTGGATGTGTGCATGCATGTGTGCGTGAGAGAGGGGGGTGCATGGAGTTTTTCCCTTTGTTTCCACGCTACCCCGACCCCTACTCCACACCAAATAACTCATTTAATAACTTGGAATCCTCCCATATGTTTATCTGTGCTTATAAAAGTCATAGACACTTATGACACACATCAACACATAGATACATGTACAAGTTTTTAAAAATTGTTTTATAAAAATGAGATCATATGAATCAAATTTACTGCATGTTGCTTTTCTTGCTCATCAGTACTTCATAGAAAAATCCCTCAAGTTCACTGGTATGCCTCTCTTATTTCATTCTGCTAATGTAGTCCATAGGATGGATGGCCCACATCTGATTCAACATTCTTACTTTGATGGCATTCATTTTATCTCTAGTTTTTTCACTTATAAATAATGCTTCCACAAACATTCTCATTTGTACATATGGACGCGTGTGTGTATGTGTCCTTCCGAGCTAGTGCTTTTATTTCCCAGGCATAGATTCCCAAGAGTAGGAGTGCTGAGCTGAAGGGGATGTGTGTGTGTGTGTGTGTGTGTGTGTGTATACACTATATATATATAGGATGTTTCCAGATTGTTTTCCCAATAAACTACAGCAATTCTCACTTCCATTAATAGTACATGAAGGCACCTGTTTCCACATCCCCGTAGCATCAGTTGTGATTTCCTTGTTTGTGCTGGCTGGGCTGATGGGTGGGCAGTAACACTTCATTGTTACTTTGTTTCATTTCTCTGACCCCTGGTGTGCCTGAGCATTATTGTATAGGATTATCTGCCATCTGGATTGCTCTTCCCCCAATCACCTGTGGGACCTTTGCCTGTTTTGCTCCCGAGGTTCCAGAAAGGAGAACAAGGCTTTCTGGGTCAGGCAGGCAAGCAAGTGTGTTTCCGTCTCAGCCTTTACCTGGTCCTGGAGATGGTCAGCCCTCAATGACTTACCTTCCCTTTCCCTTCTGCACAGTTTTTAGAGTCCCCAGAAATGGGAAATTAAATCTTATTCTCCCAAGCGTCCCAGGGTAAGGGTGAGGGAGAGAGCAGGAAATAGAGTTGCAAGCCGGTGAGAGCTGATAAGTTGTCCTGTGGATTGGTTCTACTGTCTCTCTCTTGTGTTTCCTGGGCCAAGTTCCCTCCCTTCTTGCTGATGTGCACTTGGCAGTGCACCTGTAAATAGTTTGGATCTTGACTGATGTTTCTGAAGCTTCAAGTCTCACTACTCAAAGTGTAGTTCATGGACCAGAAACAGAATCTCAGACCCCACCCCAGACCTACTGACTCAGAATCTACATTTTAACGAGATCCCCAGATAATTCACAGAAACATTAAAATTGGAGAAGCATTGGCTTAAAGCATTCTGGTTAGAATTTGTGAGGGGAAACAGACACGCTTAGAACTTACTTGCCCAGAAATGTTGCTGCAGTTGAGAATGTTTTAGATGTGTCAGTAGATCCAGCATGGTGCAGATTCCACCGCTCGTGGTGGCATGCCTTCTTTCTCTTGCTCTTGAGATCTCATAGTGCATGTCACCTACCAGAACACAGCGCCCCTCTGCCTTGGGTGACAGGAAAGCTCAACACACCCCAATCCAGCTGCTTCTCCCTGTCGCTGAGTCTTATAGGCCCATCAAGTCCACGTAAACAACCTGTTTTAGATAGCCCGACTCCGTTTGTGGCAAATAGTGCATGCTTCAGCTGCCTGACTTGAGTTTCCTGCCATCTCCTGAGCGGCCCAGCTCCTTATCACTGTCCCTGTCACCTGTCCTCGGTCTTTGTCTCCTGAGCCTGAGGACAGCCTCAGCGCCTCCAGTTTTCATACAGAGCTGCCCCCATCAGACCCTCTCGCCCTCTGACAAAGCACTGTTAGTTACTCTCTAGATAACCGAGGTCCGGTCCTGGCCTGCACCTGCCGCCCTCCTTCCTCCACCTCGGACGTGAACACCTCAGCTCAAAGGTGAGAGCGCACACGGTGTGCTGCCGGAGCCAGACGAGGGGGTTACTGCTCCGCACCAGATGAAGGGAGTCGTCCTGTAAATAGCTGTGCTTTCCAAACCACTTCCACTGTGGCTCCTGAGGCCTTCACGCGTGCTCGGTTTGCCAGGCAGGGTTTATCAACCAGGGATCGCGTAGGAAGCAGAAACCACTCCAGGTGGTGTAAGCAGAAGGAGTTTCTTGTTGGAATTAGGTGCTTACAACATTGTTGGAGGGGCTCAAGGGGCAGGTTTCCGGCTGGGCCTTTTGAAGGACTCCTGGCTAGTTCAGAAGCAGCTGTTGCCAGCCCACAGCCATTCCTGGACTCTCTAGGAGGCTGAAGGATGAACAGTCTAAGTTGAGGTCTGAGGATTATGGAGTTTGGACAGAAATCACCACCACTGCCCTGCTTTTCTGGTACTCAGGAAGCGGCAGCACGACCTGGGTTCAAGGTGACTGGGACCGTCTAACCAGCAGTGACAGCCAGAAGCCACATTCTCACCGGGCACGTCTCATGTGAGCACACTAGTTCCCGAGTCGCAGCACCTGATTCACGTCCCGAGCTCTCGCCGTTTGGGCATCTGGGAAGCTTAGTTTCCCTCGTTCCAACCTCTCAATAGGAGGAGGATCAACGGGAGGTTTGGGAGGAGCCAACTGTGCAACCTCAGCTAGGTACGATTTTGACGAGTGGAACGGGTGGGGCCTGCGGCATTCACACTCCCAAGCTCAGCCTCCACCCAGGAGTGACTGCGCCCAGGCCGACCCCGGTGTCTTCCCACACTTGGCGTTAGCACCTTCTGCAGGTGGCAGCCTCCTTGCACCGGCAGGGAGACCACTGAGCGGCTTCACTCCTCCCTGGTTTTCTAAGCCTGTAAGACTGCTACCTTCCTGCGTGCTCCAAAAGCGATTGCTTTTTCACTTAGTTTCGTCTGATTGACGAAAGCTTGTCACAAGCTTGACAGAGGTTCAGGGAATGTGGGCAAAGCCGCGCTGCCTTCTACATCAAGTGCTGTTCATTTGGGTCATTAGGATTTCATGTCTGGTCCTGGTCTTCGTAATTAAACGTGTAAAGAGATGTCCTCCCAGCACTGTCATGAGCAGGAACTTTTTAGTAGAAATGTACTTGTTGATGACATGGTTGTATAATGTGATTGTGGGTGTAGGGGGACAGATGTGTTTCAAGTGCTAGAGAAATGACAATGATTTGGGTCTCATGGGACCCAGGCACAGGACCGTACACAGAGCAGGTGCTCAAAATGGCTTATTTAGTACATGGAGTGAAATGAAAAGAAGCTCAACGCAGGTGGAAGGTGATGCTCCGTGTCTCCCGGCTCTCCAGGCAGTAGTCATTCCTTGGCCCCTCAGATCCTCCATTTTGGGTGCAATGGTGTGGCTGTACTTTGTGGAGAAACAAATTTGGGCAGCTGAGTTCAGGGCTTCACGTGGAGGAGCGAGAAGGGGGCCACCCAATGCAGCTTTCCCTGGAAGCGTGTGGACTGGGGCACAGTTGTTGCAGGATGATTGGCTGCCACCATAAGTGGGCAAAATCATGGGCAGATCATCCTGCTTCCTTAATTGAATCTTGGAATGCATTCAGAATCTTCAACCCAGGGGTCTGGCACTCAAGGCGTTTGTGACCTGGCACTGACTCAGTACGCTCTAGCCAAATTGGGCACTCATGGCTCCCAGATGCTGTGCCAAGCTTTCACCTGCTTATCTTTGCTTGCACTGTTCCTGCCACCTGGAGGGACTTCTCTTCACCCATCTCTACCTTGAGAAATCCTCTCTGTCATTCATGGCCAACTCAGACACCCCTTCTTCATAGCATTCTTTGCCCGCCGGCCTCAGGAGCACCCTCTGGCACTATCAGAATGCCCAGGGCTCCTTTCCACCCTTTTCTCCTGGCCACAACCCTTTCTCCTGGCCACACCCCTTTCCGCCTCTTTGCCTGGTCCTGTGGGTGCTGTGCAGGCTCCCTCAGCCAAGCTCGGCATTCCCAGGCCTGGCTCCGAGTAGGTGTTTGTGGAATGAATGGCTAAAAAGTAAAGCAAAAAGCTCATGAAACAGAGGGGAAATCCAAAACTGATTAAAGAGAAAAAGGATTCTAACAAAAAAGACCGTGAGTGCTGGGTTCACACTGCCTGGGTTCAGGTCCTGGCTCCACTATTTAATAGCCCTGTGACCTTGGACAAACCAGTAAACCGCTTTGTGCCTCAGTTTCCCCCTATGTTAAGGATAAGCGTACTACCTAATCAGGGATGTTCTGAGAATTAAGATTCTTGAAAACATGTCAGCTTCTTGGAACGGTGCCTGCCTCGTAGTAAGTGTTAATATACGTTAGTGCACCACTCCCCTCCCAAGCTTTCCCAACTCCCTGGCTTGTCGAAGATAGTGTCAGAAACTGGCGTTTTTCCGAGCTCCCGCCAGATGTTCACCTCCGTTTCCATCCTGCAGTTGCGGCGAAATCAGTGGGAGATGTTTTCCTGAGGCGGCTCCATCCTTACTGTGGAAGGGAGAAAAGACGGGAAGGTCCACGGACCAAGGAGTGGCTCTTGCCAGGCTCTGTGCGAGGGCTCCTCATATGAAATGCTGTTTAATCTTCACACAGCCTCTGGGTATGGATTAATGTTCCTATCTGGGAGGAAGCTGAAGCTCAAAGAAGAGCAACAGCTTGCCTGGGATGGCACGGCGAGTGAGGGGCATGGCTGCAGTTGAAACCCAGATTGGATTTTGAAACCCATGTTCTCTTGACTGCTTCATCCAGCTGTTCCCACCACCTGGGGCTGGAGGCTGGGGGCTGCGTGTATGTGCGCACATGTGTGCATGCATGTGTGTGCATGCGTGTGGGTGTGTGTGCGTGTGTGCGCTGCTTCAGCTGTTCCCACCACCTGGGGCTGGGAGCTGCGTGTGTGCATGGGTGTGTGTGTGTGCATGCGCGCACTGCTTCAGCTGTTCCTACCACCCGGGGCTGGGAGCTGCGTGTGTGCATACGTGTGTGTGTGCACTGCTTCATCCAACTATTCCCACCACCCGGGGCTGGGAGCTGCGTGTGTGCATGGGGGTGTGTGTGTGCACATGTGTGCGTGTGTGTGCATGCGTGTGTGTGTGTGCGTGCGTGTGTGTGCACTGCTTCATCTAGCTGTTCCCACCTGGGGCTGGGGGCTCTGTGTGTGTGTGTGGGTGTGTGTGGGTGTGTGCATGTGTCCATGCGTGTGTGCATGTGTGTGGGTGTGCACATGCGTGTGGGTGTGCGTGCGTGTGTGTGCATGTGTGTGTGTGCGCGCACGTGCGCACGTGCAGTCCTTGCTGGGGTGGGTGGGCTCGATGGCCCTGCCCCGAGTTGCCTCAGAACTGAGCAGAGTGGATCAGTGTGGACAGATCTTCTGGGGCTTGCGAACCCCAAAGCATCAGCGAAACCCGTGTTTGCCCAGTGTTCAGCCATGGCAGCCCACAGAACCTGACCCGGATTCCAGTAGGCTTTTGCCCAGGTGTCGCTGAGATGTCAGCAAGCCTCAGTTTCCTAGTTCATGGGCCCTCCTGACGGCTAGAAATGGTCTCGTGGGTTTTAAGAATAATTATAACTATCTTGTCCTCACTTAAGCTGATTTGGTATATACCAATGTACTGATTGATATTAGCACCCGTCTCATTTGCACATTTCTGCAGCGATAGTAATGCCAAGTAAACTGTAGAAGAAATGAGTTCCTGAGGCATTTACAGGCAATCAGGATGTTCACTTTGCATGTAGAGCAGGCACGCGCTATTTGAATCAAGCTTCCACGATTGGGGCGAGCAAATGATCTTGTATTTACATATTTTTCCGAAGGCCACTTTACCTCAATTTTAAATCTTTAAGTTGAGTTCCTATTTTTGAAAATTCTGTTTTGTTGTAACTGAGGTAATCCAGCCTCAAGGCCCTGTGAAGACAGCTTATGTTAGAAGTCTGTCTGTTAATCTTACCACGTTGAAGACAGTGGAATTCTGTGAGAAAAGATAGGCTTCACGAGTCAGTACCAGTGGTAGATGGGTGGGCCAGTGATAGTATAATACTCGTTCAGCTTGGTCACAATCAGCGTGTCCTTTACCTGCTGCTTACAGACGTTCACAGTGACAGATGCTCCCGTCATGAGAGACACTGAGCACCATCAGACACCTGCCCCTGGAGCGCCATCCTAGCCAGAGAGATACACACAGGCCCAGCCCACTCAGCCCAGCCAGACCCTCTCCGCCACCTCCTTTCCCCTTGCTCCCCATCCAGCCTCTCTCCCCATCTCCCCTCTCTGCTATGGATTGAATGTGTTCCTCAGAAATTCATACGCTGAAGCCCTAACCACCACTCCCTCAGAATGTGACCTTATTTGGAATAGGGTCGTTGCAGATGTCATTTGTTAAGATGAGGTCCTCATGGTCGAGCCTAATCCAGTATGACTGGTGTTCTTATAAAAAGAGGAATTTGGGCACAGACACACACACACAGGGAGAACATCACGTAAAGGAGAAGTCAGATCACGGCTTTGCTTCTGCGTGCTAAGGAATAGCAAAGATTGCCAGCGAACCACCAGAAGCTAGGGGAGCGGCCTGGAACAGGCTCGGCCTCGCAGCCCTCAGAGGGATCCAGCCCTGCCGACCCATGATCTCAGACTTCTAGCCTCCAGGACTGCGGACAATCAGTGTCTGCTGTTTAAGCAAACCGGTTTGTACTTTGTCGTGGCAGCCCTAGAAAATAAATATCACCCTGCCCCCACCCACATACACATACCTCACACACACCACACACACACACCACACACCTCACCCACACACACGCACACATACACCACACACCACACACACACTTATACAACACACACAACACACCACACACACACTTATACACCACACACACGCACACATACACCACATACACTTATACACCACACACACACCACACACACTTATACACCACACACATGCACACATACAGCACACACACACACACCACACACACCACACACATGCACACATACAGCACACACACACATACACCACACACAACACACCACACACACTTATACATCACACACCACACACACACCACACACATGCACACATACAGCACACACACACATACACCACACAACACACCACATACATACACCACACACACACCACACACACGCACACGTACACCACGCACACATACACCACACACCATGCACACATACACCACATACACACACACCTCACCCACACACCACACACACTTTACACCACATACACACGCACACATACACCACAGACGCACTTATACACACATAACACACCACACACACTTATACAGCACACACGCACGCACATACACCACACACCACACACATACACACACCTCACCCTCACCCACACACACATATACCACACACGCACACATACACCCCACACACACCACACACCCACACACACTTCACCCACACACGCACACCACACACTTATACACCACACACGCACACACCACACATACACCTCACCCACACACACACATACTCAGACACCACACACAACACACAGACACCACACACACCACACACACACACACCACACATGCACACATACACCACACACGCACACTCATACACCACACACACCAGACACCACACACACCACACACACGCACACATACACCAGACATGCACACTCATGCCACACACAACCACACACCATGCACACACCCCCACCCACACACATACACACAACACACACACATGCACGCACACTCATATACCACACACACATATACCCCCACACACACCACACACACCCACACCTCACCCACACACATGCACACATACACCACACACACAGGCACACATACACCACACACACGCACACTCATACACCACACACACACTCATACACCACACACACCACACATACACCACACACACACCCAGCCCCACACTCACATACATACCTGAACACATACACCACACACACGCACACTCATACACCACACACACCAGACACCACACACACTCATACAACACACACACCACACACACGCACACATACACCACACACACCACACAGACACCACACACACTCATACAACACACACCACACACACGTGCACTCATATGCCACACAACCACACACACCATGCACACACACACCCCCTACACATGTACACCACACACATGCACACTCATACACCACACACGTACACATACCTCACACACACATGCACACATATACCACATACACGCACACATATACCACACACTCATACACCACCAACACACACACCATACACATGCACACATACATGCACACTTATACACTACACACATGCCACACACAGACACACCATACACGCACACACACGCTGCTGGCTTGGGAGAGCCAGGCCTGGTTATTCCGCCTTCTCGAGAGTGTGCCTCAAGGTGTTCAGCTATAGTGAAGGCGCTGCTGGGCTGTCGGCCTCTGCTGTGGAAGTACCTTGCCTGTGCCCTCCTTCATAAAATGATGCTCCTGTTCAAGAGTGGAGATCTGCAAGCAACGAAGAGAGAGTATCTGGAGGAATGCTGAGCATGAATTTTGGGGGTAGTGGGACTGGGTGATTAACAGTCCTGGCTCTGCCCCTTTCGAGTTCACTTTCCTGAGAATTCACTGCTTTATCAATATATTGGAAATAATAATACCTTTGGGGTTTTCGTGAGAACTAAAGAAAATACAGGTAAAGCTCTGAAGTAGTGCTTACCTCACAAGATAATAGCTGCCTTAATTATTATTTCTAGCCACTGTGTGGGACGTGACGTTACCAGTAGGGTGTTGTAAGGACATCCTTGGATTTACTTTCTAGCTTCATGGAGGGGGAGAGTGAAATTGAGTTATAGTCACATGCTGCGTAACATTTTGGTCAATATATGATGGTGGTCCCGTCCGATTATAATACCATATTATTACTGTACCTTTTCTATGTTTGGATATGTTTAGATAGACAGATACCATTGTGTTACAGGCATCTACAGTATTCAGTATAGTAACATGCCATGCAGGTTTGTAGCCTAGGAGCAGCAGACTGTACCATACAGCCCAGGTGTGTGGTGGGCAATACCATCTAGGTTTGTGGAAGTCACTCTGTGTGTTCACACAAAGACGAAATCACCTAACAATGCATTTCTCAGAGCAAACTCTGTTGTTAAGCGATGCGTGACTGTATATGTGTGTTGTTTTTTCTTTACGATTTGTAAAGTTTTCCAGATTTTTTACTCCAAATGTGTATTTTACAGACAGGAAATCAATTTTCTAAAAAACTAGGAAGATGCTACTAAGTCTCAAATAAAACAAGAGTTAGCAGTTTGATAAGAGTCAAAGGCTCTTGAGAAAGTTCCCAGTTACGCCGCTGGTTCATAGGATTTCTGCATGTTTTTATCAGTATGGTGGTTTGCGTTTCTAATTAATGTTTATGCCTAGCTGGTTGTAACATGCAGTTATGTTTAGTAAAGAAAAACAAGAATGGATGGAAGAATATATGAACATTGCAGGCCAGGCCCAGAACTGGGACTTGCAGCTCAGGTGACCCAGGGTTGCCTCTGCAGGTCACCTAGGTCTCTCTGTAAGATGAAAGGCCAGACCCCCCTATGGGGAGTGGTGGGAGATGCATACAGCTAGAGGGAGGTTTCCAGCCACTTCTCATCTGACACGGTTCAACTGCATGAGAGCCGAATGGCATCAGAGTTGTGTTGGCCAGATAAAATGGGTTGTGTTGTGTGTAGGGACCCTCCTCAGCACTGGCCAGCAGCTGACTGGAAGAAGGGCCCCACTGTGCGGAGGCCTGGGCGGGTGATGCCTCCACGTGGGAGTCTCCATTTTCCTCATTTAAGAAAGGAGGTGGTGTCTCTACCAAGTTGGCCTCATGAGGCCATGAGGATTCCGAACACTGAGGGGCTGGATCCCCGCCAGAAGCGCAGGGAGGACGGGGTCACAGTGCGGAGAATACTGACTGTTCTTGCTAGGTTTGCCCCCCTGGCACTTGTGGCTCTCCTCCCCTTCCTCCTCCCCCTCCTCCTCCTCCTCCTCCTCCCCCTCCTCCTCCCCCTCCTCCTCCCCTTCCTCCTCCCCCTCCTCCTCCCCCTCCTCCTCCCCCTCCTCCTCTCCCCCTCTTCCCCCTCCTCCTCCCCCTCCTCCTCCTTCCTCCTCCTTCTTCTTCTTCCTCCTCCTTTCTTCCTTTTTTTTTTTTTTTTGAGACGGAGTTTTGCTCTTGTTGCCCAGGCTGAAGTGCAGTGGCATGATCTTGGCTTACTGCAAGCTCCACCTCCTGGGTTCAAGCGATTCTCCTCCCTCAGCCTCCTGAGTAGCTGGGATTACAGGTGCCCGCCACCATGCCCGGCTAATTTTTGTATTTTTAGTAGAGGCGAGGTTTCGCCATCTTGGTCAGGCTGGTCTCGAACTCCCGACCTCAGGTGATCCGCCCGCCTCGGCCTCCAAAAGTGCTGGGATTCCAGGCGTGAGCCACCGCACCCGGCCACCTCTCTTCTTTTTGAAGGGCGTCTGGACTCAGCTTTTCGTCTTGCTGAAAATGTGAAGCTGTAAATGAAAGTCGTTCTGGGCAAAACAAAACGAGAGCTCTCCATTCCACCAGGCAAAGGGCAGGTGCCTGTGTGTGTTTGGGATTTATTTTTATTTTCTAATCCCATTGCCAACAGAAAAAGATTCTGTGGAGCCTCTGATTGTATTACCATCCGGGAGCCGTTTATCTGTCGTCTGTGGGATGCTTGGCCCGATGTCCAGGGCTCCAAGTGTCTACTCTCCTCCCCCCGTCACCCCCACCTCTAGGGGGTGTTTTGGAGAATTTGGCCTTGGCCTAGGAGGGTAAGTGCCCAGGGTTCCATTCTGTCTCAGGGTCTTAGGACGGAAGCCAGACAGCTTGATGGTCCTGAGGCAGACAGAGGTGGCAGCTGAAGACAGTGGTGAAAGAAGTGTGGAAGAGGACTTGGCTCCTGATGACCTGATGGGTGGCCAGCCCCCCACCCCAGCTTCTTTGCTGGGGGCGCCCCAGGCCCCTCCCGCTCTGCGGCCCTCCCTGCCGCGGCGTGCCTGCAGTTCCGCGCCTCGCCGGCAGGGGTCTCGCCTGTGTCGCGGCCGGATCTGCACGCGGGTCTAAGAACTCAGGGCCCTCCCACCGCAGCCCCGAATCACCGAGCCCTGGAAGGTTCCAGCGAGCCCGGCGTAGACACCGCCGTGAGGCCCGGGAGAAGGGAAGGGGCAAGTCCAGTGAGAGAGGGTGTGTGCGGGGCCGTGCTGGGGCCAGAACCTTTCAGGGGGTTGGGGGTGAGGGTTAGGTGGGAGTGCGGAGCAAGAGCATCTCTCCATCAAAAACACAACAAGAGCATCTCTCCATCAAAAACACAACAAGAGCATCTCTCCGTCAAAAACACAGCAAGAGCATCTCTCCATCAAAAACGACACAGCACAGCAAGAGCGCCTCTCCGTCGAGAACACTAGTGAATGACAGAATGGCAGTGTATTGAGCTTCCACAAAGAGGTTTTATTGTTTTTTTCAGAGTGATCATATGAAGTAACTTTATTGATTGGTAACTTTATTAATCATAACAAATTGGGCACTTTTGGATAAAGAGACCACGTTTAATTTAAAGTATTCTTTTTCCATAAGAAGCAATACCTATGGTGTTCAAGTCAATAGTTAAATGCTACGCGCCGGTGAAATGCTGCCGACATTAATCAGAAGTAAATAATACAGGAAAGGGGAAGGCTTTAGTCTTACTAAGAAGTGATGATATGAGAGTAAGGGAAGGTGGGGAATAAGAAGTATGCCATGGAATGCTGGTGACAGCTGGAAACGTCACCAGGAAAGGAGAGAGGGAAGCGCAGGGAGGCCAGGAATAATACCATGGTTTCCTCACAGTTTCACCGACGGTGGGAAAATGACCTGGGGGGCTCTGCCATGGTGTAGGTCTGGCTCAGGGATCCCTTGGCCCCCGCTGATAGTTGAAACAGGTCTCCAAATCACTGCTCGGTGGCCCCGTGAGTGGACGCGGAGGCGCAGACTTGGCTGCAGCATTCAGGGATGGACTCTGTTGTTAAACGACAATTTCCTGTTATGTCATTTTCTCCACCATCTGACACACTTTCAACACTCACATACCTTTGAACAGAAGTTTAAATAAAAGTCTGTTGACTTTGCACTTGAGTCCTGCTGTGGACTTCACGTGGCCCTTTGCCTTTGGGCGTAAGTCAGACGAGATGATGATACGGTGTGTAGATATGTCTGTTTCTCTTAAACTTTGGTGAATATCCTGGGGACAGCTGTACTCTCCAGTCACAGGATCAAAGCTTACTGCATCTTCCTGAAGAGTCAGTTTTACTCAAAGATTTAGTAGAGGGAAAATTCGTCTGTTAAAACATATGCTTATATATTATAGAGTTTTAATTTTTCATAAACCATTTAGATAAGACACACTTTGACACACTTGGTTGTGTCCCAGGTCCCCTTGACATTCACCTCTTTCCTATCCATGGGGTCAGCATATTTTGTGGTTTTATCATTCTTGTGATAGTATTTGACCATTATGAACTGGAGGTGTGAAACACTAGTGAGCAGTTGGTTATATGGATGAAATACAAACCAGCCAGTGGTTTCCAAATGCGGCGCAGCCACACCACTATCCCCAGGGCACCTCAAAAGACAGGCTCTCAGGCCTTGTCCCAGGCATCCCAATACTGTTGGTCTCCAAAGCTGCGTTTTGACCATGTACCCAAAGTGATTCTGGCTTGTAGCTAGACTTGCGAATCAAAGAACCAAATGGTTTATTCTAACTGTAGACACTGGGAAAGGGACTGCAAACTGATATTCCACAGACCAGACAGAAGAGGGTTTTTGGTGTGGGGTTTTTTTTGTTTGTTTTTGTTTTTGCCTGTAGCATTTTGTTGTTGTTGTTACTTTGTATTAGTTGCCAACATTTAAAATCAAGGTATTCCGTAGCTTTCCTTTAAAACTCAGAAGTCAGGATGATACTAGGCCTGCCTTTTCTCCAGAACCCCTGGCCTCAGCTGAACAGCAGCAGCCTCTCTCAGGTGGTCGTGCCACGCTGTCTGGATCTCCCGGGTCCCCGCCTCGTCCCCACTGCCTTGCTCTCTGGGAGCTTGAGGTTGTGATCCCCTGCTCAGTGAACACATGGTCGTGTGAGCAGCTGAATCTCACATACCCTTTCCCAGCAGGCAGCATGAGTCCACTGCTGCCCCACCCCCTCCCCGCAAGGGAACTGCTCACCTGGGCACTGCTGCCTGGGAAGTGAAGTATTGTAGAAAGAAGAACTTAAGCTGAGGAATGATTGGGACTCAGAACCATCTCCTCTGCTTGCTACTTCTTGTCTTTGAACCACTTCTTCATACTTCTGTTTCTGTTCCTAGAGCCTCGTTTTCCTCTCATGGCATCTGCCCTCTCATAAAATACACACACACACACACACACACACACACACACACACACACACACACACGGAGCCCTCATCACCGTCATCACCGTCACAGTGGGTGTGTGCTCCCAAAGGGCTTCTACTCATCAGTAGATTTCATGGGCCCGACCTCCCATTTTCCTTTCCCCATTGCTCCCATTCTAAACTGTGGGTCCATCTGTATGTAATGTCTAAAAAGGCGCCCAAACACCAGTTGGAAATAGTTGTTATAGGAAAATGTATTCAGAATTCCAAACAACAGACTTAAAGTGATGAACTTCTAGTGCGTCAAACCTTTCTCCCCTCGTTGGAGAGGCCACAGGGTTAGGCAGGAGCATAGGGACTCTCAGCCTGTGCTGGCCTTTCTCAGTAATCAGAAGCATATGACCCCAGCTAGTATTTTCAGCTAGTTATGCCAGGGACTGTCTTTTATTCCATGAGGTCAAAGGACACACTTGGAATTGGTCACCTGACAAGATTGCATTGTTTCTCTAATTTTTTTTTCCCTAGTTTCTCAGGGCCTGAATTTCATTCCTCTTGCCCAGTGACTTCCCCTTGATGGATTCTAAAGGTCTCACAGAACAGCACCTCTTCTGTCATTTATCTGAGTCTAGGTAAAGGCACAGCGACAGTGAATGTAAGGGCCTTTAAAAGGCTTCAAAAGACAAAGAACATGTTCCTATTTAAAATTAATTTCTCTCTTGTTTTACCTACACTGATTCTTTCTAGGTTCTGAGTGTGTGTGATTTAGGCCCATGCAGCCTCTAACAAATGCAGAAGAGATGGACGCAGGCCGCTGGTGTGGGGTGATGGACGCAGGCCGCTGGCGTGGGGTGATGGACGCAGGCCGCTGGCGTGGGGTGATGGACGCAGGCCGCTGGCGTGGGGTGATGGACGCAGGTCGCTGGCGTGGGGTGATGGACGCAGGTCGCTGGTGTGGGGGTGCATTCCTGCACTCCTGTTTTTCTGTCACAGAACCACCAGTGGCCCAGCATTAACTAAACTAGGCCCAGCCTCATGGCCTGGAATTCCAGTCTGTTATCTGGAGCAAATCAGCATTTCCGTCCAGCGTTCCTAGGCTCCCTTTTATCTGCCCCCCACAGCACTGACTGTTACTAGCGTGAGCCGCCACTTCTCCCCGTTCAGTGCAGGCTGGCAGTACGGGGTTGATTCCTTAGACATATAAAAATCTGGCAAAATCAGAAAACAGTCATTCTCACTTCACACCTGATAGAATAGCCATTGTCAAAAACACAAGAGATAGCCACTGTTGGCGAGGGTGTGGAGAAGAGGGAGCCCCAGCACGCTGCACCGTTGGTAGGAATGTAGGTTGGTACAGCCATGATGGAAAACAATATGGAAATTCCTAAAGAAATAAAACTAGAACTACTATATGACTCAGCAGTCCTTCTTCTGGGCATTGACCCAAAGGAAATGAAATCACTACCTCGTAAAGATAACTGCTCTCCCGTGCTCACGGCAACGTTATTCACAGTAGCCAAGATACGGAAAGAACCTAAATGTCTGTTGATAGATGAATAGAGAAAGAAATTGTAACATACAAGACACACACACACACACACAAAACGGAATATTACTCGGCCTTTAAAAAGAAGGAGTCATACCATTTGCCACAGCGTGGATGAAACTTGGAGGACATTATTGCTAAGTGAAATAAGCCAGACACAGAGAAAAAATATGTCGCATGATCTCACTTATATGTAGAATCTTTTTAAAAAGAGGAAAAGCTGAATACACAGCGGTAGAGAAGAAAATGATGGTTACCGTGGCCACGGCGAGGGTGAGGGAGGAAATGGGGAGATACCAGTCAGGGGATACAGCGTAGCAGACGTGTGGGATGAACGGGTCTAGAGGGTTCATGTGTGACATGAGGGCTATCATCCATAATATCGTATTCATGAATTTTGCGAAAAGAGTTTGTTTTAGGTGCTCTTGCCACACACACAAAGATGAGTAACAATGTGAATTGATGGATATGTTAATTTGCTTGACTATTGTAACCATTTCACTACCTGTGTATTTCAAAATATCATGTTGTATATCTTACATAGAATTCAGAAGACATTCATTCTATTCTGTTGGAAAACATAGACTCAGATATACCAGACAATTCTCTTTTTCCCCCTCCCCTCCCCTCCCTTTCCCTTCCCTTCCTCCTTCCATTCCTCCTCTCCTCCCTTCCTCTTTCTCTCTTCCTTTTTTTCTGTTTCTTTACTTTCTTTCTGTCCTCCCTCCCCGCATCCCTCCCTCCCCCGTCCCCTCCCCTCCCCTCCCTTTCCCTTCCCTTCCTCCTTACATTTCTCCTTTCCTCCTTTCCTCCGTTCCTCTTTGTTTCTTCCTTTTTTTCTGTTTCCTTACTTTCTTTTTCTTTCTTCCCTCCCCTCTCCTCCCCTCCCCTCCCTTCCCCTCTCCCCTTTTTTTTTCAATAGAGATAGGGTCTCGCTACATTTCCCAGGCTGGACATAAAGCCCTGGGCTCCAGCAGTCCTTTTGCCTCAGCCTCCCAGGTAGCTAGGATAACAGGAACACACCACAGCACCCGGCTCAGATGTATTTTTTGCTATATCCCAATTTCATATATTTCATCTTTAAAAGGGGCCAGATGTTATCATTTTCATTCAGGAAATATGTTAATTAGAGCTACATGTATAACTGCCATATTTTATCCAAATCTCACTGAAATATGTAGTATACAAAAGGAATGTCCCTGGGACTTACTAATGTTTTAAAATATTTATGAAAGTGATAGCAGTTGTGTGCATTTCTAGAAAAAGTAATAAATGGGAAGGAAATGGTTTTGCAAAAGAGGATGTGTTTACCCATTTCATCATCATGATGCCCTGAGAGTAAAGATACTAACCAGCCAGAGAGATTCTGTTTTTTCCTAATGTGATTTAAGAGATTTTGATGAAGGTGGCAGTGGGGGTACAGTGTTTAATTAACTAGTACATGTTCTCCTTAATTGCTCCCAATCAATTAAGTCGAACATTCAAGCTGGGGGTACCTGCCCAAGCGCCGTAAGGACGGCATAGCACTGGCAAGAGGCCTGGCGGCTCTGAAGGTGACATATTATGTACTTGTCATAGCCTCACTGTCACGTGCTGGGAGGTGCTTTGTGGATTACAGCAGTGAGGCTGGGGAGCTGCTGGGATTGCGCCAGAAGCCCTTCACAGAGACTGGCAGAGGCCTTGGCTGTGGGCCGCTCTGTGGAACCTATAGCTGTCTTGGAAAAGGCTAGTTATATCCTTGCAGTTGGACAGTGAAAGTATACCTGTCTAGACTAGTTCGCTTCAGTAAATTTGGACTGAGTCCCTGCTTTGTGCCAGGCACAGGGTTAGGCAGCAGGGATATCCGATATAAAAAGACACAGTCTCTGTCCCCAAAGAACTCACAGTTTAATAGGACAGAAAGGGATGTAGGATCAGTATAAACCCCACAACCATAGACATAGTCCAAGGCTTGGGGGCGAGGAGGGAGCTGAACAAAGGACATGGCCTGTGAGCTGGGTTTTCGTGACAAGAAGTTTTCTGGTGGACGAGGAGGGAGAAGGGCACCACAGCCTCAGTGAGGGTAGCGTGTGTAGGCCCAGGAACTTGGGTCTGGGTGGAGTACAGGGGAGAGTGCCGGGGAGAGTGCCAGGGAGAGAGGAGGAGGAGGCTGGCAGGGGTAGAGGCCACATCACCGGGAGCCTTATGTGTTGGGCTAAGGTGACGTTAATTCTATAGGCACTGAGGAGCATGACATTAGCCTGATGCCAGGGCAGAAGACTCTGCAGATGCCTGCCTTCTGGGGGAGGCGCTGTGATGTGTGTGCTAAATGTGTCCCTCCTTGTCCTGGCCAAAGCACACTGTCCGGTGCTCTGGTGGGTAAAACTCCTGCTGTACCTGGCTTCCATGCCATATAGGCCACACTTTCCCAGATAGGACCCCATGCTAGGTGTGGAGGCAGGAGATTCGGAGACCAGTAGGAAACCAGCCCTGTCCATCTGGCCGTCAGACATCCACAGAGGATGAATAAAGGAGGGACAGACATGGCTGGGCCACTCCTTGCCTGTCGCATGAAGCAGGGGGAACGGTGGTGGCGGGGAGATTGGTTTCAGGTGCAGGATCTCAGACAGCTTTATGCAGGGACTGGAAGTTCCAGATTTGCAAATTTGGAAGTTCCAAATTTCCACTACTTTATTCTATAGATATTTATTGTACTTTATTTAGTCTGTCTTCTTTTTTAAGTAAGACAGGGAGAATTTTTCTCTTCTCCCTCCATTTTGTGCCCAGTGAGAAACAGATCCCAATTATTGACTGAAGCTACACTTTAGAAACAACTTTTTCTTAAGAACTTTTACACTGAACAAGATTCAAATATAGTTACTGCATTTTTTTTTTTTTTTTTTTTTGAGACAGAGTCTCGCTGTGTCGCCCAGGCTGGAGTGCAGTGGCGCGATCTCAGCTCACTGCAAGCTCCGCCTCCCAGGTTCACGCCATTCTGCAGCCTCAGCCTCCCCAGTAGCTGGGACTGCAGGTGCCCACCACCACGCCCGGCTAATTTTTTTGTATTTTTAGTAGAGACGGGGTTTCAACGTGTTAACCAGGATGGTCTTGATCTTCTGACCTCGTAATCCACCCGCCTCGGCCTCCCAAAGTGCTGGAATTATAGGCATGAGCCACCGCGCCCAGCCCAGTTACTGCATTTAATTCTTCGTCAGATGGTTCTGTCTTTGCTAACTTGCACAGGGAAAGGGGCTTGTGAACACCTTTATTATGGAGAATGGATTTTACTTTCAGCTGACTTGACTGCGTCCAGGCTGACAGCACAGGCCCCAGATGGTGGTGCTGGTTTGGGAGGCACTGTAATGTGTGTGCTAAATATGTCTCTCTGTGGTCATGATGCCTGGGTGGTGATGGACACAGATCATGGCTGTCCAGCTGCTACCCCACACGTGAGTCCACGCACCTGCGCCAGGGTCAACCTCGTATGTGTGAAGCTGAGCACGTTTATTTATTTCTTAGAGTTTATTATTTTAATCTCTTGGGAAGGGAGAGGGAGAGGAGAAAATAGACCCTCTTCAACAGCAAGCGGTTGTTTGAGAACGCGGTGTCTGTCTGCCATGTCCTCGGTTCCCCTGGTACATTCCACGTTAATTACACCGTACTCTGCTACCACAGTTTTTCCTTTGGTATCCACAGCTTTGGAAAGTAAATACATTGTGATTGTGGAATGGTCTGTGCTTGAAGCAATGAGATGGAAAGGGAGAAGCAGCAGCCCTGCCAAGCCAAGGGGCACATGTCCCAAGTCAACAGGGCCGCTCAGGGCTCGGGCAGAACATGGGACGGAAAGCCCTGAGGCAGCTTGGAGACCCCAGGCTGCAGGCCAGGAGGCCCAGGGAGGGTCCCACCCGTAGGTAGTGTTGGAATGAGGCAGAGAGTGAGTTTTCCAGTCCCTCTGATTGCCATCAAGAGGCACCAGGGCCTTAACTGTCAGAACCCATAGGAAAAAAATCACTTTCTTCTGATGACGGGCTCTGCAGCAGGGGCCAGCGCAGCGAGGAGGGCTCCCGAGACCTTGACAGCATCAAGGCCCGTGGCTTCACCTCCTCTGCCACTGTGAAGAGAGATTATGGTCAAATATATACATAACACAGAATTCGCCATTTTAACCTTTTGTTGTTGTTGTTGAGACAGTCTCTCTCTCTGTCTCCCAGGCTGGAGTGCAGTGGCACGATCTCCGCTCACTGCAAGCTCCGCCTCCCGGGTTCACGCCATTCTCCTGCCTCAGCCTCCCAAGTAGCTGGGACTACAGGCGCGCACCACCACGCCCGGCTAATTTTTTGTATTTTTAGTAGAGACAGGGTTTCAACATGTTAGCCAGGATGGTCTCGATCTTCTGACCTCGTGATCCACCCGCCTCAGCCTCCCAAAGTGCTGGGATTACAGGCGTGAGCCACTGCACCTGGCTCCATTTTAACCGTTTTGAAGTGTACAGTCACTGGCATTAATTCTATTCACAATGTTGTACAACCATCACCACCGTTTCTCGTATATGTGCATCACCCCAAACAGAAACCCTGTACCCATTCAATAATAACTTCCCATTTCCTGCCTCTCCCCAGCTCTAACCTGCCTGTGAGCGTGCCTGTTCTTGGTATTTCCTGTGTGTGGAATCATGCACATTTGTCTCCTCCGCCACTCTCTGCTGCCCCTAGGCCCAGAAGCACACTGTTCCCCTCCCGACCCGCCCCACTGCTGGGACTGTGGGACTCTGTGGGTCCTTCCTTATTCACCACCACAGTACCTTCCATGAGCCTTTCTCGGTTCCCCTCCACCAGTCTCATCTTTTCTTTGTCCAGACATTTGGTTTGAAGCGTCTTTCCTGCCCAGCCTGACTTCTTTGTGTGTGCGTGGTGGGGGGGTGGGGGCATTTGTGTGAGGGTCTTTTCTCCACTCACACTCCCCCGGAGAATCAGAAGCAGTTGTGTGGTCCCAGCGGAGGTGCTCAGGGCTGGGTTTTATCTTGGCGACTGTTCACAGGGTGCTCGCCATGCACTGAGAGGCAGCCGAGGACAGTCTTATCAGTGGGGGCTCCAGGCCAGGCTGCCTGGGTTTAAATCCAGACCTCACCACTTACTAGCTGGGGGGCTTTGACTCAATTCCTTAACCCTTGTAAGCCTCAGTTTCCTTGTCTATAAAGTGGGGATCATGATAATAACAACCTCATAAGTTTATGAAAGCTGAATGAGGTCACAGATATAAACACAACAGTGCTTGCATGTGGTGGCACGTGGTGCTAGCTACGTGTTGATACGCATTTGCTGCTGTTGTAACCCACACGTGGTGCTAGATACGTGTTGATACGCATTTGCCATTGCTGTAACCCGCGTCACAAAGTTTAGTGAGGATGAAATCATTGATATAAATTGTTTAAAAGGTGACTGGCATTTAGTAAATGTCAGCTACAGTATATCTCTCTGTCTGTCTGTCTGTGTATGTATTCTTATGTCAAAACCAACTCAGCACTGAGCCTGCTTCCAAGAACTGTCTCCAACTTAAAGTTGCCAGCAGTCTGGTTGAGGGGACTGGGCCACACCAGCAGCAGATTAAAAATGAACCGGCCTATATGTCTTGTTCCTTTCTTCAAGACAACAGGGACATGGGAAGTCCCAGCAGAGGGACGCCAGGGGAGCCCGTCTGAGGGGTCTGCTGGGCGGGAATCAGAACAGCCTGCCTTTGCCCAGCGCTCAGCGCAGCCTGACCATTTTCACCCCTGTTGTTTTTCTTATTAAATTGGGAAACAAATTATACAAATTTGAACTATTTCTAACCTCCAGCAAAAGGTAGTCACATTCTATCTCAATTTGGAAGACTGAGTGGGCATTACTGTTGACGTGAGTACCTACAGTTTCAGTCAAGATTCTCATTTTTTTAAACCCATGGAAGAAAATTATCCTCTATGGAAACCAAGCTTTACAAAGCTTGTCTCTATGTTCTGATTTTAATTGCCAGTTGAAAGGAAAGCTCAGCCTTGCTTGTTAAATAACTGTGTAAATATTACCAGGGCACTGAGAAGGCCTGAGGAGGAGAAGGAATGGTTTCCTTGCACATCTGTGCCTGAGAAATGAAGACTCAGACTCACTTCTGAAGAAACGAGTTCAACTTCAGATGGGAGGTTGAACTCCATTTTCCCGAAGGCCGAGGAAATGTATGCGTGTGTGTGTGTGTATCGTGTGTGTTTGTCAGCATGTGCGTCTGTTACGTACACGTGTGCGTATGTGCATGTGTATTATGTAAGTGCACATGGGCATGGTCGTGTATATATACGTGTGTGTGTTGGGGACGCACTGGGAACAGAGCATGGTGTCTGCGTCACATGTTGTTTCTCCGCACCTGGAGGCCTCTGAGTGCTGTGTCTGCGCCACTGTCACCAGCCTCCCCGTCTGGCCACACAGATCCTCCTGCTGTGCATGGGCTGCAGCCATGCTAGAGGGACCCTCCAATCTCCCCTAGGTGGCCCCAGGCTTAGCAGGTACTCTATAAAAGTATGTTGAGACAGTGTACTTTTCTGCTTAAGGTCAAAGGGCTTTGCTTTTGTCTGTGTGTGGAGAGCCGTGGCGGCTGGGAGAAGGCTGGGTGGGTGTCCATAAACGCGTGCTAAGGATGGAGCCATCCATCAACCTTATTTCTCCTCTTGCCTTTGCTTAGACCATAGCGTGGACACTGCTATATATTACATATTGAATTGGGTTCCCGGAGCCTCTGGCCTCTCCCCGGAAACAAGTAAGACCTTCTCTGAAGCTGCTTGAGTTCCTGTGGGCTGGAAACAGGGCAGGGAAAGAGAGGTTTGCTAACTGGTTCCTTCCCAGCCAGATGTGGTTAACGTGGCCTCTGAAAGCACCTTACTCATCCCTGTTGAGCTGCTGACCTGCAGCTCCACATGTACCCACTCTGATTCACTGAGACTCACTCCCCCTCCAGTGAAGGCTGCCCCACCCGCAGATCAGGGGACCGCACGTGTTAGGGCCTTACCTAGGGTTCCCTGGCCACTGCCGCCTGCAGGCCCTCGCTTTGTTGTGGCTCTTCCCAAGAGTCATCAGGCGCTGTTGCTCACGCATAAGCACACAGGTGACAAAGTCCCCTGAAGAATTGCCCACCAGTGTGACCTGAACGACCCCTTTCCCCAACACCACACATGAGCACTCAAACTGGATGTGGAGGCCCGGCTGTAAGAGTGCCCATCTGCAAGGCTCAGCTCTAGGAGCTGTCCCCCTGCCTTCCCTGACCATATGGGGCACAGGTTCTGTGCTGGCCCCAGTCCCAGATGGTGGAAGGCAAGGAAGGAGAACCCACATCACCCACCTGCCGTGCACCGGGGGGTTCGCGTATGACTTTGTTTAATGCCCTGGCAGAGTCTTCTGAGGCATTACACTCACCACCGCCACAGGGAGAAGACTGGAGCAAGAGGAAGAGAATTTGCATTTGCGAGTGCACGCTGCGTTCCCGCGACAGCCAGACACTGCATTACCTCATGCAGCCCTCACGGCAGTCTCATGAGATGTAATGCTTAGTTCTGGTGGAGCTGGGGCCAGAACACACTTTCCCTGACTCAGAGTCCTCACTCTTACCTCCACCTTCTCACTACTCAAAAGTGTGGCCTGCAGACCAGTAGCGTTGGTATCACCTGGGGGCTTGTCAGCGATGCGGAATCCCAGTCTGCATTTTAACCAGATCCCGGACACACATTTCCCCCGCACAGTAAGGTCTGGGAAGCACTGCCCTGCATCTAGTAACTCTTATGTGAGAGAACCCTGGGAGGGGAGGTGGAGGCCAGTGGGGTTAGCTGAGAAAACCTTCTGGAGGGCCAGTGGCAGAGCTGAGCCACAGAACAGGTGCGTGGTGGAGCAGAGGCAGCATTTGCTAATCAGAATGGCATCTGCGATGCCTTCGCAGGCTGTGTGGAGAGGGGAAGGTGCGGCCTTGTGGCCCCTTGTCTGTGTGGAAGGGCAGGCGACTCTGTGGGGGAAGGGTGGCGTGGAGACGGGAAGCGTGATTACCCACACAGGCCTCGAGCACCCGCATCCAGGGACCACGGCCGCCAGGAGGGGCTGGACTCTCTCAGGAGAAGCGTGCGTCTGGGAATCCCCGCTGAGGGGGCTTGTGAATGTGGGATCGAAGCGCTTAGATCTTGGCTTCCGGAGGTCTCCGCGGGTGTCCAGCTTTGTACAGGGTGTGGGGATGAGTCTGCCGACCGGACTCCCATGTCAGCTTTGTGTCTGGACAGAACAAGGGGCGAGGAAGCCTGGTCGGGCCACTCTGGGCCTGCATGCGTGTGGGCAGGTGTCTGTTGGTCTTGGGCAAAGGGCGAGGTGACACTGAGGGCGTGAGGGAGGAGGCCCCAAGAGAGCAGGGAAGCGTGGAAGATGCCAGCTGGCCTGGGGGCGTGGATGTGGGTTTCAGCAGAGTGCAGACAGGCAGTGGGGCGTGGGGCCTCCTTGGGGCCTCGCTGGGCTGTGTCGGGTGCTTGCTTTCTTTTCTCCTTTGCCTCCTTCCAAGGTGCGTCCACAGCCAGCGTTTCTTTATGCTTTTCCCTCAGTCTGAGACCTAGGAACAGGAGAGGCCAGTGCTGTGAATTTCATGTTTCATGGCCTCCCCAGCAAGCCAGCCCACGAAATTCCACACAGGGAGGAGGAAGAGGAGGAGGAGGAGGAGGAGCTGCCACTGTCCCCGAGGGGAGCAGCTGACACTCTCCCCTTGACTGCACCAGGCCTTGGGGGTATGGCGCCTCCACGGACGTGGGCTGGGGGAGGATAGGCTCCTAATTAGTTTGGATGCGCTTGGAGTCAGGGCACCTTTTCCCCAGTGGGCAGTTCTGCACCCTGAACAGCTGTGGGGAGAAGGGCAGCGGGAGGACGGCCAGATAATTCCAGAAGAAAGGCTCCAGGAGTGGCAGCAGAACTGCTGTTATTTTCGGAGGAGTCTAATTACTTTCCCCAGGTAATGGCTTGAAGTAGCATCTAATTTTATTTATTTATTTATTTATTTATTTTTATTTTTTTATTATACTTTAAGTTCTAGGGTACATGTGCACATTGTGCAGGTTAGTTACATATGTATACATGTGCCATGCTGGTGCGCTGCACCCACTAACTCGTCATCTAGCATTAGGTATATCCCCCAATGCTATCCCTCCCCCCTCCCACCACCCCACAACAGTCCCCAGAGTGTGATATTCCCCTTCCTGTGTCCATGTGATCTCACTGTTCAATTCCCACCTATGAGTGAGAATATGCGGTGTTTGGTTTTTTGTACTTGCGATAGTTTACTGAGAATGATGATTTCCAATTTCATCCATGTCCCTACAAAGGACAGTAACTCATCATTTTTTATGGCTGCATAGTATTCCATGGTGTATATGTGCCACATTTTCTTAATCCAGTCTATCATTGTTGGACATTTGGGTTGGTTCCAAGTCTTTGCTATTGTGAATAATGCCACAATAAACATACGTGTGCATGTGTCTTTATAGCAGCATGATTTATAGTCCTTTGGGTATATACCCAGTAATGGGATGGCTGGGTCAAATGGTATTTCCAGTTCTAGATCCCTGAGGAATCGCCACACTGACTTCCACAATGGTTGAACTAGTTTACAGTCCCACCAACAGTGTAAAAGTGTTCCTATTTCTCCACATCCTCTCCAGCACCTGTTGTTTCCTGACTTTTTAATGATTGCCATTCTAACTGGTGTGAGATGGTATCTCACTGTGGTTTTGATTTGCATTTCTCTGATGGCCAGTGATGATGAGCATTTTTTCATGTGGTTTTTGGCTGCATAAATGTCTTCTTTTGAGAAGTATCTGTTCATGTCCTTCGCCCACTTTTTGATGGGGTTGTTTGTTTTTTTCTTGTAAATTTGTTTGAGTTCATTGTAGATTCTGGATATTAGCCCTCTGTCGGATGAGTTGGTTGCGAAAATTTTCTCCCATTCTGTAGGTTGCCTGTTCACTCTGATGGTAGTTTCTTTTGCTGTGCAGAAGCTCTTTAGTTTAATTAGATCCCATTTGTCAATTTTGTCTTTTGTTGCCATTGCTTTTGGTGTTTTAGACATGAAGTCCTTGCCCATGCCTATGTCCTGAATGGTAATGCCTAGGTTTTCTTCTAGGGTTTTTATGGTTTTAGGTCTAACGTTTAAGTCTTTAATCCATCTTGAATTGATTTTTGTATAAGGTGTAAGGAAGGGATCCAGTTTCAGCTTTCTACATATGGCTAGCCAGTTTTCCCAGCACCATTTATTAAATAGGGAATCCGTTCCCCATTACTTGTTTTTGTCAGGTTTGTCAAAGATCAGATAGTTGTAGACATGCGGCGTTATTTCTGAGGGCTCTGTTCTGTTCCGTTGGCCTATATCTCTGTTTTGGTACCAGTACCATGCTGTTTTGGTTACTGTAGCCTTGTAATATAGTTTGAAGTCAGGTAGTGTGATGCCTCCAGCTTTGTTCTTTTGGCTTAGGATTGACTTGGCGATGCGGGCTCTTTTTTGGTTCCAGATGAACTTTAAAGTAGTTTTTTCCAATTCTGTGAAGAAAGTCATTGGTAGCTTGATGGGGATGGCATTGAATCTGTAAATTACCTTGGGCAGTATGGCCATTTTCACGATATTGATTCTTCCTACCCATGAGCATGGCATGTTCTTCCATTTGTTTGTATCCTCTTTTATTTCCTTGAGCAGAGGTTTGTAGTTCTCCTTGAAGAGGTCCTTCACATCCCTTGTAAGTTGGATTCCTAGGTATTTTATTCTCTTTGAAGCAATTGTGAATGGGAGTTCACTCATGATTTGGCTCTCTGTTTGTCTGTTGTTGGTGTATAAGAATGCTTGTGATTTTTGTACATTGATTTTGTATCCTGAGACTTTGCTGAAGTTGCTTATCAGCTTAAGGAGATTTTGGGCTGAGACAATGGGGTTTTCTAGATATACAATCATGTCGTCTGCAAACAGGGACAATTTGACTTCCTCTTTTCCTAATTGAATACCCTTTATTTCCTTCTCCTGCCTAATTGCCCTGGCCAGAACTTCCAACACTATGTTGAATAGGAGTGGTGAGAGAGGGCATCCCTGTCTTGTGCCAGTTTTCAAAGGGAATGCTTCCAGTTTTTGCCCATTCAGTATGATATTGGCTGTGGGTTTGTCATAGATAGCTCTTATTATTTTGAAATACATCCCATCAATACCTAATTTATTGAGAGTTTTTAGCATGAAGGGTTGTTGAATTTTGTCAAAGGCTTTTTCTGCATCTATTGAGATAATCATGTGGTTTTTGTCTTTGGCTCTGTTTACCTGCTGGATTACATTTATTGATTTGCGTATATTGAACCAGCCTTGCATCCCAGGGATGAAGCCCACTTGATCATGGTGAATAAGCTTTTTGATGTGCTGCTGGATTCGTTTTGCCAGTATTTTATTGAGGATTTTTGCATCAATGTTCATCAAGGATATTGGTCTAAAATTCTCTTTTTTTGTTGTGTCTCTGCCTGGCTTTGGTATCAGAATGATGCTGGCCTCATAAAATGAGTTAGGGAGGATTCCCTCTTTTTCTATTGATTGAAATAGTTTCAGAAGGAATGGTACCAGTTCCTCCTTGTACCTCTGGTAGAATTCGGCTGTGAATCCATCTGGTGCTGGACTCTTTTTGATTGGTAAGCTATTGATTATTGCCACAATTTCAGCTCCTGTTATTGGTCTATTCAGAGATTCAACTTCTTCCTGGTTTAGTCTTGGGAGAGTGTATACGTCGAGGAATTTATCCATTTCTTCTAGGTTTTCTAGTTTATTTGTGTAGAGGTGTTTGTAGTATTCTCTGATGGTAGTTTGTATTTCTGTGAGATCGGTGGTGATATCCCCTTTATCATTTTTTATTGCGTCTATTTGATTCTTCTCTCTTTTTTTCTTTATTAGTCTTGCTAGTGGTCTATCAATTTTGTTGATCCTTTCAAAAAACCAGCTCCTGGATTCATTAATTTTTTGAAGGGTTTTTTGTGTCTCTATTTCCTTCAGTTCTGCTCTGATTTTAGTTATTTCTTGCCTTCTGCTAGCTTTTGAATGTGTTTGCTCTTGCTTTTCTAGTTCTTTTAATTGTGATGTTAGGGTGTCAATTTTGGATCTTTCCTGCTTTCTCTTGTGGCATTTAGTGCTATAAATGTCCCTCTACACACTGCTTTGAATGCGTCCCAGAGATTCTGGTATGTTGTGTCTTTGTTCTTGTTGGTTTCAAAGAACATCTTTATTTCTGCCTTCATTTCGTTATGTACCCAGTAGTCATTCAGGAGCAGGTTGTTCAGTTTCCGTGTAGTTGAGTGGTTTTGAGTGAGATTCTTAATCCTGAGTTCTAGTTTGATTGCACTGTGGTCTGAGAGATAGTTTGTTATAATTTCTGTTCTTTTACATTTGCTGAGGAGAGCTTTACTTCCAAGTATGTGGTCAATTTTGGAGTAGGTGTGGTGTGGTGCTGAAAAAAATGTATATTCTGTTGATTTGGGGTGGAGAGTTCTGTAGATGTCTATTAGGTCCGCTTGGTGCAGAGCTGAGTTCAATTCCTGGGTATCCTTGTTGACTTTCTGTCTCCTTGATCTGTCTAATGTTGACAGTGGGGTGTTAAAGTCTCCCATTATTAATGTGTGGGAGTCTAAGTCTCTTTGTAGGTCACTCAGGACTTGCTTTATGAATCTTGGTGCTCCTGTATTGGGTGCATATATATTTAGGATAGTTAGCTCTTCTTGTTGAATTGATCCCTTTACCATTATGTAATGGCCTTCTTTGTCTCTTTTTATCTTTGTTGCTTTAAAGTCTGTTTCATCAGAGACTAGGATTGCAACCCCTGCCTTTTTTTGTTTTCCATTGGCTTGGTAGATCTTCCTCCATCCTTTTATTTTGAGCCTATGTGTGTCTCTGCATGTGAGATGGGTTTCCTGAATACAGCACACTGATGGGTCTTGACTCTTTATCCAATTTGCCAGTCTGTGTCTTTTAATTGGAGCATTTAGTCCATTTACATTTAAAGTTAATATTGTTATGTGTGAATTTGATCCTGTCATTATGATGCTAGCTGGTTATTGTGCTCGTTAGTTGATGCAGTTTCTTCCTAGTCTCGATGGTCTTTACATTTTGGCATGATTTTGCAGCGGCTGGTACCGGTTGTTCCCTTCCATGTTTAGCGCTTCCTTCAGGAGCTCTTTTAGGGCAGGCCTGGTGGTGACAAAATCTCTCAGCATTTGTTTGTCTGTAAAGTATTTTATTTCTCCTTCACTTATGAAGCTTAGTTTGGCTGGATATGAAATTCTGCGTTGAAAATCCTTTTCTTTAAGAATGTTGAATATTGGCCCCCACTCTCTTCTGGCTTGTAGGGTTTCTGCCGAGAGATCCACTGTTAGTCTGATGGGCTTCCCTTTGTGGGTAACCCGACCTTTCTCTCTGGCTGCCCTTAACATTTTTTCCTTCATTTCAACTTTGGTAAATCTGACAATTATGTGTCTTGGAGTTGCTCTTCTCGAGGAGTATCTTTGTGGCGTTCTCTGTATTTCCTGAATCTGAACGTTGGCCTGCCTTGCTAGATTGGGGAAGTTCTCCTGGATAATATCCTGCAGAGTGTTTTCCAACTTGGTTCCATTCTCCCCATCACTTTCAGGTACACCAATCAGACGTAGATTTGGTCTTTTCACATAGTCCCATATTTCCTGGAGGCTTTGCTCATTTCTTTTTATTGTTTTTTCTCTAAACTTCCCTTCTTGCTTCATTTCATTCATTTCATCTTCCATTGCTGATACCCTTTCTTCCAGTTGATTGCATCGGCTCCTGAGGCTTCTGCATTCTTCACGTAGTTCTCGAGCCTTGGTTTTCAGCTCCATCAGCTCCTTTAAGCACTTCTCTGTATTGGTTATTCTAGTTATATATTCTTCTAAATTTTTTTCAAAGTTTTCAACTTCTTTGCCTTTGGTTTGAATGTCCTCCCGTAGCTCAGAGTAATTTGATCGTCTGAAGCCTTCTTCTCTCAGCTCGTCAAAGTCATTCTCCATCCAGCTTTGTTCTGTTGCTGGTGAGGAACTGCGTTCCTTTGGAGGAGGAGAGGTGCTCTGCTTTTTAGAGTTTCCAGTTTTTCTGTTCTGTTTTTTCCCCATCTTTGTGGTTTTATCTACTTTTGGTCTTTGATGATGGTGATGTACAGATGGGTTTTTGGTGTGGATGTCCTTTCTGTTTGTTAGTTTTCCTTCTAACAGACAGGACCCTCAGCTGCAGGTCTGTTGGAGTACCCGGCCCTGTGAGGTGCCCCGCTGGGGGGTGCCTCCCAGTTAGGCTGCTCGGGGGTCAGGGGTCAGGGACCCACTTGAGGAGGCAGTCTGCCCGTTCTCAGATCTCCAGCTGCGTGCTGGGAGAACCACTGCTCTCTTCAAAGCTGTCAGACAGGGACCTTTAAGTCTGCAGAGGTTACTGCTGTCTTTTTGTTTGTCTGTGCCCTGCCCCCAGAGGTGGAGCCTACAGAGGCAGGCAGGCCTCCTTGAGCTGTGGTGGGCTCCACCCAGTTCGAGCTTCCCGGCTGCTTTGTTTACCTAATCAAGCCTGGGCAATGGCGGGCGCCCCTCCCCCAGCCTCGCTGCCACCTTGCAGTTTGATCTCAGACCGCTGTGCTGGCAATCAGCGAGACTCCGTGGGGTAGGACCCTCCGAGCCAGGTGCGGGATGTAATCTCGTGGTGCGCCGTTTTTTAAGCCCGTTGGAAAAGCGCAGTATTCAGGTGGGAGTGACCCGATTTTCCAGGTGCGTCTGTCACCCCTTTCTTTGACTCCCTTTGAAAGGGAACTCCCTGACCCCTTGCGCTTCCCAAGTGAGGCTTTGCCTCGCCCTGCTTCGGCTCGCGCACGGTGCGCGCACCCACTGACCTGCGCCCACTGTCTGGCACTCCCTAGTGAGATGAACCCGGTACCTCAGATGGAAATGCAGAAATCACCGTCTTCTGCGTCGCTCACGCTGGGAGCTGTACACCAGAGCTGTTCCTATTCGGCCATCTTGGCTCCTCCAGTAGCATCTAATTTTAATGCCCGCTTTGATCTGGCTGTTAAAAATTCCACTCTTTATGTTCATTCAAATTCCAGTTGGCTGTTCTGGGTAAGCCCAGGCCCCAGTGCCCTATCCGGAGAGAGCTGAGAAGTTGCAGGCCCTGCGTGCAGGGAGCCTGACTGCCTTGTCTCTGTGCTCTACCAGCTCCAGGCATACCTGTGTTGATACCTGAATAGAGCGCGCAGTGGGGAGAGACAGGGAGGGTAGCTCAGATGCTTTTCTGCTTTCACAGGGAGCACCCCAAGCACAGCAGATTTTCAAGAGATTTATCTGGAAGGCCTGGAGAAGCAACTCAAGCACAAGGGATCTGAGGAGGAGCCAGGGAGCACATTTCCAGTTTAAAGGGGAAAAATGTCTCCCTGGAGAGTGGGTACAAACGGGAAGAGGGCGGAAGAGGAGCTCCAGGGCCACACGCAGCCTGGCAAGGGCAAGGCCGGCTGTGTCCAGAGGAGCAGGAAAGGCGGGTTTGCTGCAGGCCACCTGGAGAGACGGTGGCGTGTCAACGGGCCACACGGGCAGTGCCTCCCAGCCCCCTTACTGCTCCCCGCAGCCTGCCCTGAGTTTAGAGAAGCTGCACCGAGGCAGGAGGAGGTGACCACAGTGCTGCCACCAAGGCGACCTGGAGCTGGGAAGGCCTAGGAGGCCACTCTCCCTCCTTGTGGTACAGGTGGGAGGTATCGGGGAGGGGCCTGGCCAGTGTCATCATGCAAGTCACTGATCATGATTAGAACAGCCACTGCCACTGACCCCATAGCCAGAATGCTCAAGACAGAAGCCAGGACCCGGAGCTCTTTGTCCCCCTTCATCACCTACATGCATCCGTTCTTAGAGCTAGTCATACACCTGCTAAGTATCTCCTAAACCCTTTGCTTGTCTCCATCCTTGGCACTGCCACCCTCCCCCCCATCACCAAAGCATCCTCCTGCCTGGTCTTGCTGCTTCCAGCCCTTCCTCCTCCATGCCAGTGCCCACCCAGCCAGAGTGACCTTCCTCATACCTCGCTTCAAACCTTTTGTTCCCTTTAGCAGCAAGGTCAGCTTCCCTGACCTTCCTCACAGGGCCCATCCTAAACTGGCCCTGGCTCATAGTCAGGCCTCTGACCCCACAGCCCCTGCCCCTAACCACTGTGTTTGTTGAATACAACTGGATAGACTTCTCCCCTACAGGTCTGTGGTCTCTGCTGAAATGCATTCACATGCATGGAGACAGGGAAACAGCCTCTGTTCCAGGGAAGCAGGGGTAGGGGAGCGGCCGAGACGCCAGACCTGGCTACCTTTGATAAGTTGTTTATTTTCTGAAGCAGACAGTTCTGATAAAGCCGTCGTAATGATGCTCCTTGATCCAACCTAGCACGATAGGAATCTGAGCTGGCCTGTCAGAAGGACAGATTGTTTTGTGGATTTTCTTCCCTTAAAAAAAAAGAAAAATTTAAAAGCAAGGACAGTGCTGTAGAGTGCTGAGCTGTAAGGCTTCGAGGCACACAGCGCGGCCAGCTGTGGGGCAGGCTGGGGGCAAGCTGGGTGTTTGGGGGTGCTGGAAACCAGGTCTGTTTTGCCCAGGTGTGCTCTGTGTGTACAAATGGCCTTTAATGCAGCTGCCCCTGTCCACAGGCCCCAGGCAGTCCTTGAAAGAGAAGCTTGAAAAGTCAAGTTTGGGTCTTCTGCAGCTCGGGCACCACCGAGTCATAGTGAGTGTTGGCCTCCGCAAGGCCTGACAGCACAGAGGACAGAGGTGAGTGGGGGCAGCTGCCTCAGGGGCTAGCCTCGGGGTGGGGGAGGAGGCTAGCCCAGCAAGCTTTTGAGGCACCTCTTTCCTGTGTTGGGTATGAGGTGAGTGCTCAGAGCAGTGGCTCTGTCACCACAGTCGAAGGACAGTGAGGCTAGTGGCGACCTGACGGTTTTGAACCAAACTCTGGGCCAGCCCCTGGTGGAATGGAGTGGTCTCGCCGCATCAGTCTGGAACTCTACTAGGATTGTCACCAGACACGGTTGTGGCTCGCGGCTGCCCACCGCGGCCCGCAGGATGACTGGGCTCTTGGAGCTGTGAGGGAGCACAGGAGCTAAGCTCCTGCTCCTTTCTCTCTGACCGCACTGCTGTGCTTCTCGAGTAGAACTGGGTGGACTCCCCCCTCCCACCGCGGTCTCTGGTGAAATGCGCTGGCATGCTTAGACATGGGGATGGAGGCTCCATTCTAGGGAACCAGGGATGGGAGAGTGGCAGAGATGCCAGACCTGGACACCTTGGGTGAGTTGCGTATTTTCTGAACCAGCTTGGAGCCGGAGCGGCAGGGCCAGGGGTGGGGACCAGGACTGTGACACTGGTACTGAGTCACCATTCCCAAGAGGTTTGGAGAGGTCGGAAGGGGTGTTGAGCCAAAGGGCAAATCCAGATATTCTCTCTCCAAAGCCCGTGCTCCTCTGAACTGTTCTCCAGGGACCTCACTCAGCCCCTTTTGTCCCCAACTTGAACTTTCATATGGCAATCATTTCTTTTCCTACTTGACCTCGTGCAAGGAGAGGATTTAGAGCACTGTAACTCCCATGGGGGTCATCCTTGCTTGGGAGAAGGTTACGTCCACGTGAAGACTCTGCGGCTGCTCAGATGAACCACACACTCTGGAGGTTTTTGGCATTTCGAGGGTCTGGAAGTGGCTGCCTTGCTAGGCCTCCCTTTCCTACCCTCAGCTTCTGCAACTGGCAGGAGCTGCTGTCTTGGGCACCATTAGAGAAGCTCCCCTGCCAAGAGCCAAGGTGTACTGTCCCCAGCATGGAGAATGGTCCTGCCATCAGAGTGGGCTCTCCAGGATGAGGGTGTCTGTGTGATTCACTGTGCTCTTCACATCCTGGACCCTGAAGCCTAATTGAATGAATGAATCCCTGGGGTTGGGTTTCTGGGGCCGATGGAGTCCTGTGATCGTGTGTAGTGGTGGGAGTTTTGCCTAGAACATCCTTGGGTGGTTTAACTCACTAAAATACAGCAAGTGAAGAACAGCAGGCTGCAAGGGCTGACCTAAGTATTTTAGGGAAAGAATTGGACCTCTGAAAAGAGTACGGTTTACTTTGCTCAAAATCTGGGTTGCATGAAATACATTACACTGAGGCTGCCATCTCGCTGGTGGGAAAGGCTGCAGGCAGTCTTGTGGTGCCCTAGCGAGGGTGGACTTTATGTCCTAGCTGGGCAGCCTTGCCCAGGTGGCTTCCATGCTCCATTTTCCTGGGTGATCTCTATAGGTTTTTTTCAGCGAGAAGATTTTGGGTCTAGGGCCAGGGCCCTGACTTGAATCGGGCCTCCTGCCTCTAAGTATCCCTGGGGCAGGGAGCAGCCTAGCTGATCCCTGCCATCTTCCCATCCTCACCCACAGCCTGCTCTGTGGTTGGAACTGGCCTGATGCAATTCAGACCTCATAGCCTGTTTTCTGCTTTTCTGCTTTTCTGCCTTACCAGCCGGACCTTCCCAGAGAACCAAAGCCCGCTAGGAATCCTTTCTGTGATGTTATTTCTCACTCCAGCTCTGAACTTGGTGAAAGCACAGGAGATGAGCTCTTTCTGAGTTAATGCAGCAAAAGGCAGAATGTGTGACCATCAGCACATCACTTTTTTTTTTTTGAGACCGATTTTCACTCACTGTCACCCAGGCTGGAGTGCCGTGGTGCAATCTCGGCTCGCTGCAACCTCTGCCTCCTGGGTTCAAACCATGCTCCTGCCTCAGCACCTTGAGGAGCTGGGACTACGGGTGCCTGCCACCGCGCCTGGATGATTTTTGTATTTTTAGTAGAGATGGAGTTTTGCTGTGTTGGCCGGGCTGGTCTCAAACTCCTGACTGCAAGTGATCTGCTTTCCTCGGCCTCCCAAAGTGCTGGGATTAGCGGCATGAGCCACTGTGCACCGCCAGGCGCAGTAACTCTCTGGGCCTCCATTTCCTCGTCCGTAAAATGGAAATAATACTGACCGTAGGTAGTTGTGAGGAATTGAGATAATGTACATATAGCTGGGTAATGATTCCTGTGAATGGGGAGAGGTGTTCTTCTCCTCCTCCTCGTCATTTTTCTGGGCATGGTGCTTGTCCATAATAGGCTTGAACAAATATTTATTGCCAGCCTGGATGTAGGGATGACCCTGACTTCTGAGGAGGAGATGAGGAGAAGGACCTCTGGTGTCAGGAAAGCCTGAGGAGAGGCCCCAGGGATCATCTCAGCAGGGAGGGTGTTGACCAAAGGAAAAAGTCAAGCTTTTAAAGAATTAAGTTCGTTTTATTCAGAAGTTTCCTGAGGACTCCAGCCTGGGAGGAGTCTTTCGAGAGGTTCTGTCAGGCTGCCCCAAGACTGTTTCAGCTCACAGTTTACACACAGGTAGACAGGCTCGGTATACGCAGGGGGTTATCAAGGCTTACGTGCAAGGGTGCATCTGGTTAGAGACTCCAGAAGCGACATCACTGACCCCTTCAGATGCGATCTTATGCGTAGGAAAAGGCAAGCACTAGGGTCATGGATCTTTTAAGGAATATAGTGACTCAGGAAGAGACGCTGGGGGCCGGGCGCTCTATCCTGTTTTGTCTTCACTTCATCCTCCGGAGGGTTGAGCGTTGTCACAGAGTCAGGGGCTTTGTGGAATTCGGCTGGCCAGCAGAAATGTGCAGACATGGCTTCTTAAGTTTGCAACTTTATCTCACGGGGTGAGCAGGGCTTCCTGGCTGGGGCCATGTCTGTGCCACATGTGACCTGGCACCTCACTGTTGGCTCTTGGCAGGGGGGGTGCCTTATGGCTGAGGGCAAGTTTGGGAGAGGTCCTTCTTTTTTTTTTTGAGATGGAGTTTCACTCTGTTACCCAGTGATCTCGGCTCACTGCAACCTCCTTCCCCCGGGGTTCAAGTGATTGTCATGCCTCAGCCTCCCGAGTAGCTGGGATTATAGGCACGCGCCACCACACCCGGCTAATTTTTGTGGAGTTGAGTTGGAGTTTCGCCATGCTAGCCAGGATGGCTTCAAACTCCTGACCTCAAGGGATCCACCCGCCTCAGCCTCCCAAAGTGCTGGGATTACAGGCGTGAGCCACCGTGCCCAGCCGAGAGATCCTTCTTCAGGGTTCCTCACTTTTTCTTCCTGCTGTACTCCCACGAGGTTCCGTGTGTTTATGCCGAAATGCCTGAGGGAAGGAAGTCCCAGGGACACAGGGAACTTTTCTGGCCCTGCCTATTCCTCCTTCCTGCTCCTGCACAGCTGCTCAGACAGTAGCACCAGAGGGAGAGAGAAGATGGGCAGGTGTCAGCAGCCCTCCAGGAAGACCACCAGGGAGGGGGGCTGACGGGGAGGCAAACGCCTGAGACTCATCACCCCTATTTCCTGAAAACTGAATCTGCATACACCCAAATAGGACAAACCTAAGGACTCTGCAAAAGCAAATAAGCATAGTGGTTGCCTTACGCGCCCGCCACCCTTGACACACACAGCACACTGCTGAGGTCCCATAATTGGAAACCACCCAGATGCCCCACACTGGATCCATCGTGAGGCTTTGTCAATACATAGAAGTGAGTTTTTGAAACAAAAGCAAGTAACAACAACAGCAAATCCATGTTGTAATCACGCACTTGGAATGCAGTTAAAGAGACATCATCAATCGTTGGAGTTCAGTGATCGCCCCCCGGAAGCTTCTAGTCCTGGCCTAGAACTGCAGGCTTTCAGGACTGACAAGAATCCTCTGGCCGATTCGTCCATTTAATAGGTTTAGGAACCGAGCGCCCAGCAGGGGAAGTGATTTGCCCAGGCCCACCCTGGTGGTGGGTGCAGAGCCAGGTAGACCAGTTGCAGGGCCCACTGGCTGCTGCAGACCACAGGGGAGGCTGGTGTGTTTGGCATTGAGAATCTGCACTGCTGCTCGCTGAACTTGACATTGTGGCTTTCCTTATCTCATCTGAATGTATTGAGTATTTTACTTGCATTACCTCATAACATTTTCTCGGCAGCCCTGTTTATATTTGGAAGCCTGCAGCACAGAGAGTTTGAGTGCCTTCTCCAGTGTAGATGCAGAGAACCAGGATTTAAGCTCCGGACTGGGACTGTCTGCCCCCAGAACCTATATTCTTAACCTGTATGTGCACTGTACATTTTTTTTCAAGGCAGTGGAAATCTGATATATTGCTGCCTCCTGGCCTTCCCTCCACCCTAGACCGATGGAAGGTGGCGGAGCTGGGCCTCCCTCCTGGCACCTGTAAGCATTATTGTGCTGCTTCCAGGAAGCCTGTCCCCGGGCCCTGCTCAGCGCTGTGACAGAGGGAGAAGACGGGACAAGTATTAGCATAGAACCTGTGTATACTTTGCAAATTGCTATGCCACCTGTTGTATGGCCATTTTCAGGATAAAATAACTCAGTGGCTTTCATCTCTTTATAAAAATCATAAAAACGCTTTTTTTTTTTTAGTGTGATTCTTGGACCAGCAGCGTTAGCGATCCCTGGGGGCTTGTCAGAAATGCAGTGGCTGACGAGCTCCCAGGTGAGCCCAGGCACAGTGACATCTGAGAAGGGCTGCCCACCTCAGCATGACAGGCTCCTGCAGGCGGGGCCTGGGCCTGGCCCATCACACTGTCACCGTGCCAATTACTATTTTTGCCTTGGCCAAGATCCATGCCACATTGTGTAGGACAGCGATCAGGGACAGCCAAAGGTGGGGGCCCTTACATGGAATGGGAGGGCGCTCCACTTTTTCTGATCTTGAGAAGTAACACAGTTTGCAGCCGGGGGTCATACTGCCCAGCACCTTCGTGCCTGGGTGAGCCACGTCCACGGAGTCTCTGCCACCTCTGGCTCCTGGGTTGGAACACCCCCTCCCATGAGGGTGAAGGGCGCTGGTGCGGATTGATGGAGTCTAACTGGGGACACAAGGTTAAATTCCACACATACCCTCCCTGCCGCCTTTCCCACACCTGGCTGCACTCTGCTCGCTGTCCCGGAAAACACCCCACCATGTGTCCTGGCACTCTCTCCTGTGACCTCCAGCGCCATGAGGCTGTCGGGGACAGTGAGCCGATTCTGAAGGTGACCCTCTGTGGTTTTGTCTTCACTCTGACAAACCCTCCCCCATCCCCCCCACCCCCGCTCCCTTAAATTCAGGGAAAGAGGAGGGTTGTGGAGCTGAGCTGGGGCCTGGCTGCCCAGCTGGGCCAGGTGCATGTGGGTCCTCACCAGCTTTGGCTGCCGGCTCTGTGGTTTCCTGGTTGGGTCCTGGGGCTCCCACTAGAATTGAACTGCTCCCTGTGACAAGTACTGGGGCTTGAACAGCTGCTCCCTCTACAAGCCCCAGTACTGGAGGCTGGGTGCCTTCCAGGGCCAGCGCTAGGAAGGGTGTTGTCCAGAGGGCTGTGGGCATCCCCAGGTCAGGTCACCATCTGGGCCCCTTCCTTCCTAGTCTTTGTCACACTGAGCACTTCGTCACAGATGTGGATTCCTGGGCTTGGGGAGCCAACTTTTCTGCCTCACCTTCTCTGTCTTCACTTCCCTCTAGTGACTGGGCCCGAGGCACGTTCTCCTCCCGCCCCTGCCTTTCTGAACGGTTGTGCCACTGCCTTCATCCAACATTCTCCTAAATTCCTGCCATCTAGCTTTAGAATCTCTTATGCCTTCCTTCATTAATCCATCCATTTGAAACTAACAGTTCTGGGGGCCCTTCTGTGAATCAGATGCCCACGCCAGGCCCTCCAGACATGAAGATGAGCGGGACACTTCCCCTTATCAGTCCCAGAGTCACCTGACTCTGCCCACACCCTCACCCTTTATTTGCCTGTTATTCATTCCCGATTGTATTACACAGAGCCCCTTGTAAACAGATTCTCTCTTTCTCAAACCCTTCTCACACCCAGCCCCTCCTCCTCCTTAGATGACTTCATGTCTTCCTTTCCTGACCTCTCAGAACTGCTGCTGTCCTCGCTTCTGTCCCTCTCTGCTCCCAGCCACATCCCAGGGTTCCCTCTTCCCGGACAGCTCTTCTGCCTGGCAATTCTCCCCTTGCTGACCTCGGGCAAGCGTTTTAGAGCTCTCTGCCTCAGCTTCCTCATCTAGAACATGGAAATCATAGTACCTACCTTGTTTGCTTATTACAAACATTATACTGAATACATTTAAGAACTTACAACAGGGCCTGGCACATAGTAAGTCCTCACTAAATATTAGCCATTATCGTTATTCTCATTCCTCAAAGAAGCCACCCTGCCGTTTTCCCTGTATTTCTTCAGTCTGTCTTTCTCTCATGTATGCATCCCTTTCCCTTGGCGTACAGAATACTCAGCTCTCCCTCTTTGGAAAATATCCTCCCCTCTGTCCTCTGTTTGCCTCTAGGTGCCATCTGGCTCCCTGGCGTCTGTTCTCTGCTGTTCATACGCTCCCCAGGGCCAAGGGTGTGGCTTCCCCGTCTCCATCCCTCTCCTTCTCCAAGGTCACTGTCACCTCTTGCGGCACTTCCAAGTCCTTGCCCTCTACAGCTTTCCACACTGCTGTATTCTCACATGCAGTGATGTACTGGGGGCAGATGACACTGGGTAAGGGGCCGGGAGATGCAAATTGAGGCTGACCATCTGGGGGCAGGGGTCAGAGCTTCCAAGGGTCTGATGAGCAGGTTCTGTGCAGGGTGGGTCAGGACGTTGCCGCCAGAGAGGGATCTCAGTTCCCATCACTGGAGCAGAGTGCGTCTGGTCGCAAAGTTCATGGAGAGCCGAGTGGGTAGCTTAGGTGTGGTTTGAGGACACTGTGGTCAAGGTGAAGGGAAGGGCCATCAGCATTTGGAATTCTTGAGGGTGTCCCTAGGGATGGAGCAGAGAGGAAGGGGATCCCAGGCGGCGAGCAAGGAGCTGCCAGCCGGATGGTGCGATGGGAGGTGGGGAGGACAGCTCTGGAAGTGTGGGGGGCTGTGTGCAGCCCTGGGGACTGGGGAGAGTGGCAGCAGGATGCATCTCTACTTCGTGGAGGGGTACTGAGGTACTGTCTGGGTGTCATTCTGTCCAGATCCAAGTGTTTGAGTGAGAGGCAGAGAACGGGCAGTCGATATTAGTAGGAGGCTTGGAGGGCATCACTGGGGAGAAGGCCCAGCTTGGATGGGGATGAGGAAGAGGGGGAGGTAGGCTGGAGGGAACTTGGTGGGACACATCTCGTGCCCAGAGGGCCAGGGCACGAGAGGCTGGAGGAGGCACAGTGGGCCTGCAGAACTAGCTGGAAGGCCCGTGTAGCTCAGTGGCTCTGCAGGAGCTCCCACAGCAGAAAAGGCCCCCATGGCCTGACTCGCTACGGGCCTCTCGGCTGTCAGTGTGAGGGACAGGTGGCCGGGGTCCTCCAACGCCCTGCATCTTCCTGGCTCCTCTTCTTCCACGCCCTAAATGTCAGAACTCTCCAGAATTCCGTACCACCTGCTTGGTGCTCTCTGCTTATGGCCGGTACCTCCAGCCACCTGCTGGGCTCCTCCACATTGCTGTTCTCTGGGCACCTGTTTGGGACTCAACATGGAATTCCCTTTTCCTCCGCCCCACACCCACTCCTCCCAGCTCCGCCATGGCTGTTTCTGGCTCCGCCGTCTGAGTAGGGATCCAGGCTTAAAGCCCCTCCACTGCCTCTTCCCCCTCATCTCTGTCCCTTGCCCCTCCCAGGGCCGAGGCTCCGGGGCTGCATGTGACTGAGTGAGGGTGAGTTCCCCAGTCCCTGCCCATCTGTTTTTACAGCTCCAGGGCTGCAGATGCTGGGGGAAGGTCACGTGACTGACAACCCCAGGCAGGCTGGGCACGGGGAGCGGAGGGCCAGGAGAAGCCTTCGAGAAGGGCATGGCACATCCTGAGGATACGGGGCAGCAACCTTGGGGTCCTGGTGGTGCCGTGCCATGTGGAGGCCTCAGGCCTGCCAGCTGCCCTTCTGCAGGGCTCTGGAGAAACGGACGCCTGCAGGGGGCTGAAGGGCTGCCCTGCACCAGGTCAGAGGCCTTGCCATCAGGGCCATTCACCCCCTACGACGTCCAGCCCCAGGCCGCGCTTTACAGGGCCCCACAGAGATGGGCTGGTCATAGCTGGTACAGCTTTGGGAACGAGACTGACACTATGGGTCACCTTTATCATTCCAGACTCCAGGAGGCTGGCTGGGTGGACGAGGGCTGATCGCTGAGGAGCCGCCACAACCTAAGCCTGGGCAGGGAGGAGCATTTGCAGCATCAGCTCTGCAGAGGCTGAGCACCTACAGGGACAGGCAGGGCTGCTCCTCAGGGCACGCTGCTGGGCAGGGTCAGCGCAGAGTCCCGGACCAGCCCAGTGGGGGCATCTTCCCCATTCCATCCATGTTATTGCGGCACTGCCTCTGGGTTGAGATTGCAGGAGATGTTGCAAGGGGGAGCTTTTGGACATCTCTCTGCTGGGGTCCCCGTGCCGCCCCCTACATCATCTCCCATCCCTCTGCTTTTCCCTTCCCCAGCCACTGACACCTGCCTTTCCCTGGACAGAGGCTGCCCCGCCCACTGTGGGTCATTCTGTCTCCACCCACTGAGAGCAGCAGGGGCTGGGGTTTTGCTGAGGGCAGTTCTGGGCCCCACAGGTGTCCTCTGAGTCCCTGGACAGTGAGAACAAGGTACCAGTGAGCTGTGGTGTTTTTCTCCATCTTCATTGCTGGAGAGTGCTGTGGGTTGAAGTGTGTCCCTCAGAATTCCTCTGCAGAAATCCTAGCCCCCAGCACTTCTGAGTGTCACCTTTTGTGGGAATGGGGTTGTTGCAGATATAAAGAGTTGAGATGAGGTTCTGCTGGGGTAGGGCAGGCCCGGATCCTTATGGCTGGCGTCTTGATAGAAAGGGGCAATGTGGACACAGAGGCACGTGCACGCAGGGAGAACGCCATGTGAATATGAAGGCAGAGAGCAGGGTGATGCCTCTCCCAGGATCCCAGACTGCCAGCAAGCCACCAGGAGCGAGGGGAGCGCCTGGAACAGACCCTCCCTCCTAGCCCAGACAGAGCCAGCTGCCAGCACTGTGATCTTGGACTTCCAGCCCGCCGAACGGAGAGGCAGCACCTTTCTGCTGCTGAAGCCGCCCCATTGGTGGTACTTTGCGATGGCAGCCCTAGCGAACTAACAGAGCCCAGTGGTCTTTAGGTAAAAATGAGGCCCACTGTGCAGGCTGTAACAGGGGCAACTCTCCAGAATGCTTGGCTTGTCTAGTAGCCACCCCAGTGCCCTGTCACGACTGTCCCTCCTCCCACCGAAGGCCCCTGCGTGACATAATTCAAAACGACTCAGACTCCGGGAACACGCGCGGTCGAGTTCCAATGTCTGTGCCGCAGTCGGCCCCGTGACCCCGTGCGGGCTTCTTCCTCTCTGGAACGGGTGGGTGTGGGGTGGGTGGTAACACTGTCCTGATTAAAGCTGTGCACATCTGCTCAGCAGATGTCACCTCTTTTCTCACTTCCCCGAGCCCCCAGACCTTCCTCCAGGCCCTCTTCCTTCCCTGAACCTCTGTTCTCTCAGGCTGTGCAGATGGTGCAGAGATGCCAGCAGTTGCAAAGCAGGGCCCTGGCAGCCTCCAGCGTGCGGGGAGAGGCTCCAGGAGGCGGAGGCCGTGGTGCTGGTTCTTTCTGGAGGGGAGGAGCTGTGGCTCATGTTGGAGGGAGGGCCTGGAGGGGAAGCCCTCTGCGGTGTGCCTCCCCACAGGGTCTCTGTGGGGCCCGGTGCCCCAGCAGTCCTCTCCTGTCCTGCCAGGCAGCCTGGTTGCAGCACTGAGGGCCAACCCCAGTGCCCACTCAGCCTGCAAAGCAACAGCCGCGCCTCGACCTCGCTTGCCCCTTCCAAGTTCTGGGGATGTTGTGGTTTGGCAACTCAGTTGCTGGCCTTCAAAGAGGGCTGGGGTTTGAAAACAAGCACATGTTTCTTAGGAGGTCCCACAGACGAGGGTGAGCACATGCCTGCCACCTGCTTAGTGTCCCTCCTATTTCCCCAGGCAAGTCCTGCCAGCCACTCGGGCACCCAGCTCTCCTCCAAGTGCTAGTGTGGTGAGCTTGGAGGACGTGGGCCCTGCTGGAGGGGAAAGCACAGCCTCTGCGCCTCCTGGCAGGCTGGCTTTGTCTGAGCGGTGCTGCCTCGCCTCACCACAGGGCTTGTTTTGGGTAGGTGGGAGGCAGCAGTTCCCTTTTCTGGGCAGAGGCATTTGTGGAAAAGCATAAATTATTTGCCTGGAAATGTGGAGTTGCCCTTTCAGCAGCGTGACCCTGGACAGGCCAGTTTTTGAGCCTCAGCTTCCTCATCTGCACAATGGGTATATGAACCAGGAGTCCCTCAGTCTTCAGGCTCTGGTAGACCGTGGCTCTATGAGGAGCATCTCTTAGTCCTACTGCAAATGGCCTGTGTGACGTTAGGAACACTTATTCTTTTTTCTTGAGACGGAGTTTCACTCTTGTTGCCCAGGCTGGAGTGCAATGGTGCAATCTCAACTCACTGCAACCTCTGCCTCCCGGGTTCAAACGATTCTCCTGCCTCAGCCTCCTGAGTAGCTGGGATTACAGGCGCACGCCACCATGCCCGGCTAAGTTTTGTATTTTTAGTAGAGACGGGGTTTTGTCATGTTGGCCAGGCTGGTCTCGAACTCCTGACCTCAGGTGATCCGCCCACCTCGGCCTCCCAAAGTGCTGGGATTACAGGTGCGAGCCACCGCTCCCGGCCTGGGAACACTTCTTACCTTCTCTGTCCAGTAGAGCTGGAGACCTCAGCCTGCTTTAGGTCTTGTTATCAAGAGATCCTAATAAGGGTCAGTTCTGAGCTGGCAGTAAGGACTGCTCTAGGGACACGGGTACTTAGAGCTCCGTGGTGGTCCTACAACTCCAGGATGTCCATGTCTTCTCCAGTTTGATACCACAGGGCAGTGGTTCCCCTAAAGGACTGAAGAGCTCGAGACTGCCCCACAGAACTTCAGCCTTAGCTCCAGGTAGGACCAAGATGCAGGGTCATGGGTCTGAAATTAGCCGACATCACCCAGCCAGGGCGCAGGGTGTCCGGAGAGCCTCTGGGCCTGGGTGGACTTGAAATGTCCCTGGATCACCCCAGAGGACCTGGCTGGTGTGGATGAAGTGCTGGACAGCTGCTGAGTGTTGCTTTTCCCTCCTGGACTCTCATCTTGGATGACTGGAAAACAAGGTCCCTTCCACGCCAAACGAGCTCATTGGGCCAGGCACACATGCATGGGTATGAGGGAAATCACGTTTCCGGGTTCCAGGCCTCACTGACTGCACAGCCTCTGGGCCGGGTGCTTCCTCTGGGAGGAGGCCCAGATGCTGGCCCTTCAGTGACTGCTCTCAAGGCTGAAGGACGCCCCAGAGGTACGCCTTGCGAGGCCGTGTGCTGAATCTCAGACCTCAAATGGAGCCTTCTTTGCCTGACAGTCTACAGCCTGAACTTAGCCTGAGTCAGCACAGGCTTCTAGAACCTTCCTGCAGAGTCTTGTGCAGACAGCCCAGGCTCAGCATTTTCCCATCCTCGCTTCCTCCCTCTTGGAGGTGGTGGTGGTGAACTCGACCTGAGGAGCTGAGAAAGGGGCAGGAGAAAAAAAATCACGAAGAGTCGGAGGCAAAAGGGCCTGTGGTTTGGAGTGGTGGGAGGAGGAGGTGGGAGGGCTGATGGCCACGTGTGCCCTTTACTGGGGAGGACGAGCCCTTAGATTCTCCAGCCCGGCTCTCTCGAGAGCCCTTAGCAGAGCGGCCTTGGTTGTGATCATCAGGGAAAGACTTGAAGCGAGGAAGTAACTGTGCTTTTCCAAATGACTTCAGATGCCCTTTTCCATAAAGATGGGTTTTCTTCATGAAAACTAGTTGACTAGCTTTTAATAGTCTTTTTTATGATTATTAAGTTATATTCAATGTTAAAAATTTAGAAAATGCATTTATGACTGGAAGAATGTTCTTAAAGCTTCTTAATTTTTATTTTCCCAAAGGGCCTCCTTGACTTCTGAAAAGACCCAATATTTACCAGGGACTGTCTGCGTGGGGGCTTGTTTTCCAGTTGAAATTATTTCTAAAGGGGTGAAAAAGGCTTATCCCCTCTACCGTGGGTCTCCAGGTGACTATGGAAGACAGGAACAAGACTCTCCACAGGCCGGACGGTTAGACAATCCAGATAGTTAGAGCAAAGTGGCTGGGTTGTGGGCATGAGGGGGGGAGGGGTTAGTCAGAGAAACTTCTGGATGCTCCAGGACTCAGAACCAAATACCTGCATTTATACAAAGGTTTCCTGCAGCCTCTGCACGTGCCACAGACAGTGCCCCTGAATATACGTTGTCAGCCCCAGACTCCTGTGAAGAAGGGCAGGGGTCTGGGACACTCACTGCCCTGCCTCGTAGAGGCCTCAGGTCTGAGCCCTAAGTTCCTAATGTGCCAGCATCACCCGATCACCCTGTCCCCTGGCCTCGGCCGGTGCCACCCAAATTCAGAAATAAGATTGAAATCCAAGCGCACCTCCTTGGAACCCTAGCCCGTGGAATCCGAGGCAGTCAGATCAAAGGGACCTCAGAGATCAGAAGCCCTGCCTGCGACAAACTGAGGACCTCTGTTCCCTTTCTGCAAAAATGCAGGCAGTAATGTCCCTGGGCTGCCAGGGAGAGGGAGCCGAGGTGGAGAGTGTGAGAGGGCTTCGTGACCCACGCTGTGCTGTTGCGTTGGGGGGATTGGCGGTACTGCCTGTTTAGGCCATTTTGCCATGGGATAGAAGTTCCTCGCACGAGCTCCAATACTGTCCACACCCCGTACCATTCCTTCTACCCCGAGGCTGATGCGATTCCTCTACGAGAACCAGCAGACACAGAAGCCAGAGAAACCCACCATTCCCTTAGGTGACTGCTCTGTCTTTCTGGGTTCATTTGGGGATAGTAGGGACGCCTTGAACAAGGGCCCCCTGAACATCGCTTTGGGTGGGGACAGTCATTGTTCCTTTTCAGGCTGTGTTTCTGCTGCAGCACACACACGGGGCAGCTTGCACGCCCAATTTCCTGTCCCTCCTTTCCTTCTCAGGCTGATGCCCAGACCAGTCCTTTCTGACCATCATCAAATACCTCTTCATCCTGATTGAGTGGTGGTGCTGAGCATTGTCCCCAAAGAGCCACTTGTGCTGTGGCCTTCTCCTGGAGGCATATTCTGTCCTCTTCTCTCTGCCTGCGGCCCCCATCTCCTGAGCCCAGCGAGCTCAGTGCTAGTTCACTGTTTGCTCCTCCTTGCTGCAGACACAGAAGATTTGGGAGCGTTCCTGCCGAGGTTGGTAAGGATACCTGGAACAGTGGGCGGCCTCTTTGCTCCCCACTTGCTAGGAGTAAAGCCGTTTAAAAAGACACCTGAGCCTCTCCGGGTTCCTGCTCCTCACTCAACCCCACAGTAGATCTGGTGGGGAGGTTGAGGGCTCAGTGAATCTGCAGGTGCAGCATCGTGTCCTCAGTGTCCTGCCCCCTGCTTCCACCCGGTGTCGACAGCTGCACGGTCCACCCCACGCCTGCCTTTCCATCGTTCCTCATCAGCCCTGTGATCTTTCCTGTGGCCCTGCTGTGCTGGTGCCCTGTGAGGTCCTGTGGACACAAGAGACTGCACGGGCCACACCCCCAGCTGGGTGAGTCCTCTCCCTCCTGGGTACTCTGGACAGTAAAGAAAGATGGACACGTGGGCTCCGTGGAGCATGAGGTAGTCCAGGACCTCGGCGGCCACAGGTCCTGCCTCCCTGCTTCTCGTGCCCTCCCTCCCTTTGGGTCTCTGCTCCACCTCGGTAAACGCTTCGTTCCCACCCCTCGAAGGGTAAATCGAGCTCCTTGGTGGTAAAGCACCCACTGCCCCTAGTCAGAGGGTCCCTCCTCTCTGATGTCATGGTGCCCTGGTCTGCCTGGTAGAATTTTAGCTGCTTTATAACCTGGTCCTGAAATGAACCACTGGGAAGAAATAGGGTAAAATGAACACACAGCTGCCACACTGCATCCCAACCCTGTGTGACCCTATCACCGCAGACTTTTGTGGCAAGATGACAGCATCTCAGTTTGCTTGAGAAGCTTATTTTTGCCAAGGCTGTTACCACCAGGCAGGCACCAGAGCTCGGTTCCACTCACAGCAGAACACAAGCAGTGGCCCTGTGGATTCCCCTGTAAGAATGTCCGGAGGGAATGCTTCCCCCTCGCCAGGATCAGACTCTTGGCACTCTCTGTGATACGTGAGACCTTGAGGAAGGTTCCTCCGTTCCCAGAAGCGGAGCAATGTGCTGGTGCTGAGAAGTGGCCCCTCAGGGCCACCCTGGGCAGGGTCTCCGGTTTTATTCCCCCGTACCTTCTGCTTCATCACGCAGATCCTATCCTGGGTTTGGGTGGGGAAGTCTCTCTGCGGGGGCCGGTGGGGCAGCATCTCCAGGCTGGGAGGCAGAGCTGGTTCTGCCACGATGTGTCCTCCCCGTGAGGACCCACTCCCACGCCTGTCCCTGCCACAGTGGGCCTCCTGATGGTCCTCCTTCCTCCAGGTCACCGGCACGATTGCTGTGGCCCCTCCTCTGTGGGTGTGGGCTTGGACGCCTCTCCCCTCCACCTGCACACCCCTTGCAGCACACATGAGGCTTAGCTATTAAAGAGGCTGGAGGACAGTGCAGCGCTTTAACCCTGGCCCTCACAGGGAGGTGTCTAGGTCTTTCTTCTCCCCTCCAGATGGAAGCATTTGGGTAGAGGACCTAGAAGAGGCTAACACTCCCTGAACTATGAACCTAGATTGGTTTCTAAATCTGCTGAGAGAAAAATTGAACTTGAAGTGACATTCCTTCTAAAGTAGACATCATCCTACATGGCTCTTCTACAGCTGTCTTTCACCCTAACCCATGGTGTGCCCTGGGCTGTCGCAGGCCCCCAGCCCCTGCCCAGCCTTTCTGAAGTGCCAGGCTTGGGGCTCAATGAATGAGCCTTGTTCTAAAGCAGAAAACAGTTCTGTTCCAGTCAGGGTTCAGCTGCCTGCGTCTTGATGAGATCTCTGTTCAGGATTGTGTCCCCTGCTTCTCTCTCCCTTCTCCTTTTCAAGATCACAGGTGAAGACAAGGGGGTGGAAAGTTCTACCTAGATTGCTGCTATCTTAAGAATGTGGACTTTGGAGCCAGATTGTCTGGGTTTAGTCCCTGCGTCTGCTGCTTACTAGGTGTGTGACTTTGGGCAAATACCTTGACCTCTCTGTGCGTCCGTTTTCTTGGCTGTGAAATGATGTATCATCTCAGAGCACCCATCCCCTGGGGTTGTGTGGGGAGTAAGTAAGCCGGTCTAGTATGGCGCCTGGTACATCCTCAGTCAATAATATCAATGTTGGCTGTGGTGAGGACGTAGCAGAGGATGGTAGAAAGAATCTGAGGCTTGGGGTCCAGAGCCCTGGGTTCAGGTCCCAGCTCTGCCACTTGCTGGTGTAGTGATGCGGATTCTGCACCCCGGAATGTGGCAGTGTTTGCATGCAGGCTGGCTGTGAAGACCCAGGGCAGCAGGCCGGCAGGCTGGTTCCCCTGCACACCGGACTAACTCTGTCCTCTCTCTCCACAGGCACACATTCTGGCAGTTCCGCCATGAGAACCCCCAGACCCGGGTTGGGGGCCCGCCCCCCGAGGGGCTGCCGGGCTTCAACAGCGGGGTGATGTTGCTGAACCTGGAGGCCATGCGCCAGTCCCCGCTCTACAGCCGCCTGCTGGAGCCGGCGCAGGTGCAGCAGCTGGCCGACAAGTACCACTTCCGCGGCCACCTCGGGGACCAGGACTTCTTCACCATGATCGGCATGGAGCACCCCAAGCTCTTCCATGTGCTGGACTGTACCTGGAACCGGCAGCTGTGCACCTGGTGGAGGGACCATGGCTACAGTGACGTCTTCGAGGCCTATTTCAGGTGTGAGGGCCACGTCAAGATCTACCACGGGAACTGCAACACTCCCATCCCGGAGGACTAGGCGCTCCCCGTGCCTTGCCCCCGGGGCCTCCAGATCTGGGGGAAGGACAGGGTTCCTTGGGACAGACCCAAGGGCAGTGTCTGACCCGCTAGAGAGACACCGCAGGGAAGTCCTGTGATTAAGGTGCTGAGACCTCCTGCCGGGCAGGTCACTGTGCTGAGGCCACCCGCCAAGGACTGGCCTGTGCACTGCTGGTGCTTGGGACCTTATTCCTCCAGGGAGCAGGCGACACAAAGGACACGCATGTCCAGTGGGCTGGGAAGCAAGCACTTGAAGAGAAGGAAGGGGAGAAAGGGTCCCCCTTGCTGTCTGCCTCTGAGGAATGGAAATCCTTTAGACCCGGCCTTTTTTGGACCAATATAAATTTAATTTAAATTGACAGCCTTCCATTTTTCGAGAAAGTACAAACAGAACTGCTTTAGCACCCATCGAGCCCCAAACGGGTAAGGTAAGCCAAGGTTTTAATGACCAGCCCAGTATCTAAGCTTCCAAACGAATGCCAGCCCATCACATACTCACCCTGGGAGGCTGCTGCACGCGCATTCTCCTGATGCTCACGTCACTTGGTGTAGGTTTCAGGATCGCCTCTTTGAGGAAGGACTTCAGGACCAACTGGGGCCTGCATAAGAAAACTTATCTCATTATTAGAGTACTCACAGCTTGTATCTCCCAGCTACATCCTAGAACCCCATTGTCCTTTATTCCACCAAACCAGCTCCAGGTGACCAGACTCTACTCAGAAAGCAAATTCGTCATCAAAGAACAGAGACTGGCCACCACAAGGACATGCAGGAGAACTGTCGGGACCAGGAAGACTCATTCCAAAAAGCCCAGGCCGGGCACAGTCGTCAAGCCTGTAATCCCAACACTTTGGGAGACCGAGGTGGGGGTATCGATTGAGCCTCGGAGGTCGAGATCAGCCTGGGAAACACAGGGAGGCCCCCATCGCTACAAAATATTTTAAAAATTAGCCAGGTGTGGTGGCTTGTGCTTGTTGTCCCGGCTACTTGGGAGGCTGAAGTGGGAGGGTGGCTTGAGTCCAGGAGTTCACTGCACTGAGCTGTGATCACACCACTGCACTCCAGCCTGGACGACAGAGTGAGACGTCCATCTCAAAAAAAAAAAAAAAACCAAAAAGGAACCCAGCAATTCCCAAGTGTGACCATGTGGGCTTGGAAGACATGTCACTCATGGGCTAGTAAGCATTCTAGTTTCTTTGTTTAAAAAATCCCCTTATCATACCACGTTAGACCGTAGACCTTAGCAGAAATTAAAGCGTCATTTCTTTTGATGGGGCCTCCTGTACGTAGGCTGCAGACGTGAAAGCCCCAGGGGTCCATTTGTATCAATTTTCATCTTGTTTTGTTTTGATTTCATTTACGTTTTTCTTTTTCCCATGAGTGAGGATAGCCAATAAATCATCTTTGAGAACATGGTGATTCATGTTGTTTGTTCTCTGATCACAGTTTCAGCTGCATGAAGGCTCTGAATCAAGTGTGTACTCAATGCCATTGGAATCCCCACCTCCCCTGATGAAGATGAGTGCTTACAGGAGATCCTAAGGACCAAGGAGAGGGCACATCTGAGAGGGTGTCAGAGAGGGTAGTATTGGCATGTTTGGTTCAAAGCAAGGAATCATTTCATTCTAGGTATTGGCAGGTCCACCTGCACTGGGGAGCAAAAGCATCCCCATTTCTTCTCATCCCTCTTACCCTAGACTGCCCAGTTACATCCTGCCCTGAAGAGGTGGAGCAGATATCTTTCCCAGCCCTCTGCTGTGACAGAATTGGTCTGTTCTCTCACCTACTTGATTTCCTATTTATAGGTAACAATTCTTGAATGCCTGCTGTGCACCAGCCATTGTATTGGGGGATTTATTACGCTATTGATAATGTTTATGAAAACTTCATGAAGGTCATTATGTCTAAAGTCGACTGTAAGAAAATGTGAGAGATGTGGACAGAGTCATATACTATATGTTTATCACATTTTTTATAGTAGAAGAAAATTGGAAGCAACTTAAAATGTGAAAAAGAGGGGCCAGGCGCGGTGGCTCACACATGTAATCCCAGCACTTTCAGAGGCTGAGGCCGGCAGATCTCTTGAGCCCAGGAGTTCAAGACCAGCCTGGGCAACATGGCAAGGCCCAGTGTCTACAACTATACAAAAATTAGCTGGGCATGGTGGTGCACGCCCAGCTATTCAGGAGGCTGAGCTGGGAGGATCACTCAAACCCAGGAGGCAGAGGCTGCAGTGAGCTGAGATCACGACACTACACTCCAGCCTGGGGGACCGGGCAAGACTCTGTCTGTCTTTAAAAAAAAAAAAAAAAAAAAAAAAAAAAGAATGGAATAGGTAGATGAATAATATGCTTCATCCATATAACAGAATACTTGAGGCATTATTCGAAGAATATGTAATGCCTCAGGAAATACTTAGAATGTGCTATTAAATAAAGAATGCAAAATGTAAGATCATATGTTTAATACGATCCTATTTTTAAAATTACATATATGTGTATGTATATCAGTGTACACACGTGTGTATAGATACATACCTACACACACACGTATGTATAAAAAGAGCATCTATTCTGCTGTATTTCAACTTCTAAAAACATAGGTGTTTCAAACACCACATTAAAAAAACAATTATTTCAACGGGAAAAAAGTGAGTTAAAGGCTAAAGAATTTTAGACTCACAATAATAAAGGTATTTTCCCTGCAATCCTTTCTATAATTAAAATGTGTCTATAGCTATGTGTGTATTTTGTTGTTGCAAGAAAAAAACAATAAGCTGGTTGGTCAAAATGGGCAAAGGCCAAACAACATCCCTCATTTACTTTTAAGTAAACCTCTCAGGAGCTTCCCCTCTGTCACCAGTGGCCTCGACCTTCCAACCCCCCAGTGCACAGCAGACTGTCACTGCACAGGCACCCCAGCCCACCCACAGATCACACCCCAGCCCGCTGACAGATCACACCCCAGCCCGCTGACAGGTCCCACCGCAGCCCACCAACAGATCCCACCCCGGCCCGCGGACAGATCACACCCCAGCCCGACAGATCACACTGCAGCCCACCAACAGATCACACCCTGGCCCATAGACAGATCACACCCCAGCCTGCTGACAGATCACCACATAGGCACCCCAGCCCGCCGACGGATCACCACACAGGCAGCCAGCCCACCGACAGATCACTCCACAGCCTGCCGACAGATCACACCCCGGCCCACCGACAGATGACTTCACAGGCACCCCAGCCCGCCCACAGATCACCGCACAGGCACCCCAGCCCGCCCACAGATCACACCCCAGCCCCCCGACAGATCACCGCACAGGCACCCCAGCCTGCCCACAGATCACACCCCAGCCCGCCGACAGATCACACCCCAGCCTGCGGACAGATCACTGCACAGGCACCCCAGCCCGCCCACAGATCACACCCCGGCCCGCCGACAGATCACTGCACAGGCACCCCAGCCCGCCCACAGATCACACCCCAGCCCACTGACAGATCACACCCCAGCCCGTCAACAGATCACACCCAGCCCACCAACAGATCACTGCACAGGCACCCCAGCCCGCTGACAGATCACACCCCAGACCGCTGACAGGTCACACCACAGACCGCCAACAGATCACACCCCGGCCCACCAACAGATCACTGCACAGGCACCCCAAACTGCCCACAGATCACACCTCAGCCCACCGACAGATCACTGCACAGGCACCCCAGCCCGCCGACAGATCACACCCGAGCCCGACAGATCACACCCCAGCCTGCCGACAGATCACTGCAGAGTCACCCCAGCCCGCCCACAGATCACACCTCAGCCCCCCGACAGATCACTGCACAGGCACCCCAGCCCGCTGACAGATCACACCCCAGACCGCCGACAGATCACACCCCAGACCGCCGACAGATCACACCCCAGACCGCCGACAGCTCACACCCCAGCCCGCAAACAGATCACCGCACAGGCACCCCAGCCCGCTGAGAGATCACACCCCAGGCCGCTGACAGATCACAGAGCGCCGACAGATCACACCCCGGCCCGCCAACAGATCACACCCCGGCCCGCCAACAGATCACACCCTGGCCCGCCGACAGATCACCGCACAGGCACCCCAGCCCGCCCACAGGTCACCGCACAGGCACCCCAGCCCGCCCACAGATCACCGCACAGGCACCCCAGCCCGCCCACAGGTCACACCCCAACCCGCTGACAGATCACTGCACAGGCACCCGAGCCTGCTGACAGTTCAAACCCCATCCCCCCGACAGATCACTCCCCAGCCCGACAGATCACCGCACAGGCACCCCAGCCCGCCGACAGATCACACCCCAGCCCGCCCACAGATCACCGCACAGGCACCCCAGCCCGCCCACAGATCACACCCCAGCCCGCTGACAGAGCAGCCGGGGCTTGCTGTGCCTCGCCATTGCCGTGCTTGACAAGTCGTGGAGTGCCAGCTCCTGACCTGGGTCCTGTTACAGTTGCTGTCATGCAAGCATAGTTCCTTGTGCTGTGCTTAACTTGCTTCATGGAAACCCACTCTCGAGAATACGCCTGTACATATGAGGAAAACAGAAATCTGAAAAGATAACATGTCTGGGTGCTAGGATTAAGGTGCTTTTTGTTTTCATCTATATTTCTGTATTTTCCACATCGAGTATTAATTACCTTTATTATAAGATAATAAATGCTGTACATTTTTAACCACATCCCTTCTCCCCAGTTCCAGGTGAGTGTCAGCCTGGCCGTCTTACAGCTCCCGGCTGTCCATGGCCGATGTCACCCCTAAGAACACATAATCTAGGCTGAGTCGGCTCTGGGTCTTCAACTTCCCTGTGGATGCCCCAGTTCTCCAAATAAAAGCGATCTAATAATAGCAGCTCCAGACCCTGCTTTCATTTCTCATATACTGTCATCTTTTGTGTATACACAAAGTCCACCCTACAAATGATGATGGCCTTTGGAAAGCACGCAGGCTTGCTGAAGAGATTTGCTCTTCTGTGTGTGTCAAACCAAACAGACTGCGGCCTCTCCTTCAACAGCATTTCATCAAGTCAAAGTATGATGTGTTGGTTCACAGGCCCAACCTAGAGCACACCAGGAGTTTGTAGGTTAAGGTAGTAAG